>NT_187581.1:0-186169 GCF_000001405.40 Homo sapiens | reverse complement strand
AGCTCAATCGTAGGAATAATGTCAACCCTAACCACAGCAGTAATTCATACTTCTTCTCTTTTTGTTGGTATTAACTTTATTACTTATTTTATGGTATTGGCCTTATCGTAAATGTTTTTGTTATAAAACAGATCTCATCCTTTTTTGGGGTTTGGGAGGTGGGAACAGTAGAACATGAAGATACATAATAAGTCCCATACAATAGTTAATAATAAGTCACCAACAGGATTATTCCTAACTCCAGCCCTCCAAATGCTGGGGCATTGATGTATGTGTGCAGGAATGGTATCAGACTAGACACAGACTGGCATAGAGCCTGGCAAGGTGAAGGCAATGCACCTTATAAAACAGTTACAGTAACATCTATTGCATACATGAGAACCATTTGCAGCAGATTAAATTCCCTTAAGAAAGGAGGCTACTAGACAAACCACCTCAACACCAAAGCAGGGTTTGGTCGGCATCTGACAGCGCTGGGGACGGTGGCCAGATGTGAGCTCTGTGGACAGTGGCCAGATGTGAGCGCAGCGGACGGTGACCAGATGTGAGCGCTGCGGACGGTGACCAGATGTGAGCGCAGCGGACGGTGGCCAGATGTGAGCACTGCGGACGGTGGCCAGATGTGAGCGCTGCGGACGGTGACCAGATGTGAGCGCAGCGGACGGTGGCCAGATGTGAGCGCTGCGGACGGTGGCCAGATGTGAGCGCTGCGGACGGTGGCCAGATGTGAGCGCAGTGGACGGTGGCCAGATGTGAGCGCTGCGGACGGTGGCCAGATGTGAGCTCTGCGGACGGTGGCCAGATGTGAGCTCTGCGGACGGTGGCCAGATGTGAGTGCAGCGGACGGTGGCCAGATGTGAGTGCTGCGGACGGTGGCCAGATGTGAGCGCAGCGGACGGTGGCCAGATGTGAGTGCTGCGGACGGTGGCCAGATGTGAGCGCAGCGGACGGTGGCCAGATGTGAGCGCTGTGGATGGTGACCAGATGTGAGCGCAGCGGACGGTGGCCAGATGTGAGCTCTGTGGATGGTGACCAGATGTGAGCGCTGCGGACGGTGGCCAGATGTGAGCGCAGCGGACGGTGGCCAGATGTGAGTGCTGCGGACGGTGGCCAGATGTGACTCAGCGGCTCTCGTTGGATCTGACAGCGCTGTGGACAGTGGCCAGATGTGGCCCAGCGGCTCTCCTCAGGCTGTTTCTTCCAGGAGCATGAGCTTCTTCTCTATTTCGGTGAGATTCTCTGCCTGAGATGGGTGTTCTGAGGAGCATTCAGAAATTGTTTGTTCTGAATTTCTAAAACATGAACTATTAGAAAAGGACAAAAAGAAATCTACAGACTGTGGGAAAAGTTAGTGTCAAACAAATACAAAAAGGAAAAGTTGAGAACAGCAAAGGGTGGCTGTGTTATGCGGAAGTGACAGAGTTGAAAAATGATGCATTGATAAAGGGACAAAAAAAATCCTTAGGAGGAGGAGGAGCAGGAGGAGAAGGAGAAGGAGGAGAAGGAAGCTGAAATAACCATTCTTGGTTATATATGGATTTACATTTCTTCTTCATTAGGGTTGTTTATTGCAGCATTTCTGCCATTTTTCCCTATCAGTTTCTTCTTATCCAGAGACCCTGGAGTCTTTGCCCAGGGGCCACTGCCTGGTGATGAAAGTCATATTGTTCAGCTTCCATAAACAACATCCACTCTCATGATTAGCTTTGGAAAATCAGCTGAATCTTAGCCTTTAGCTTCACAGTGTATGTATGTCTGTCTGTCTATTTAATTTTTACAAAAAGCTGGGAAAATCAAATACTTAAAAATAACAATTGAGTAATTTCAACAAAAGATTGTAATCAGATCAGGCTCTTGGGGAATGCAGAATCAGGACCTCTCCCTACTCTTCTCACCACTAGTTGTTGCCATGCTATCTTATACTTTAAGTGTCTGAGTATTTAAATCTACCCACTAAGCATATTTCTTTGTTTCCATAAAATGAAATGAGCAGATTTATGGACAGATGTATGAGTTTGTCTCAGGGTCTAGAAATCTTTTTTTCTTTCTCTCTTCCACCTAGGTCCAAGTCTATAATTTAAGTTTTAAACTTTCTAAATAAAAAGTTGATTTTAAATTTAGCATTAGCAGAAGGTCAGCAGCAATCAGCAGTGTTGGCTTGATGCTGGGGGAGAGGTAAAGGGGAAGGTGGCGTTGGTGTGACAAAAGTGGTGAAGGGATGGGGTGGGAAGCCATGTGGGTGAGAGGAAGGTAAGGAGGGAGGAAGCCTGTGCCTTCAGTTGGCAAGATCTTCTGTTCTTAAAACATCACTTTGAGTTATTGAATGTGTTAGTCCATTCAGGCTTCCATACCAGAATACCATAGACTGAGTGTCTTACAAACAACAGAAATGCATTTCTCAGTTATGAAGACCAGAAGTCCAAAATCCAGGTGCTGAGAATTCAG
This sequence comes from Homo sapiens, assembly GCF_000001405.40. NCBI lineage: Eukaryota > Metazoa > Chordata > Mammalia > Primates > Hominidae > Homo > Homo sapiens. The sequence goes on along the minus strand of NT_187581.1, from coordinate 183,724 downwards.
TGTCTGGTGACGGCTTACTTCCTGGTTTATAGGCAGTCGTCTTGTCACTGTGTCCCCATATGGAAGGTGAGAGAGCTCTGTGGGGTCTCTTCTAGGAGGGCACTGATCCCATTCATGAAGGCCTCACCTTTATGATCTAATCACCTCCCAAAGGCCCCACCTTCTAATACCATCACCTTAGGTGTTAGGAGTTCAACATACGCATCTTGAAGAGACATAAACCATCAGGCTGCAGCATTCAGCTCCGGGCCTAGAGTGCTTCTAACATGCAAAATACACTAATTACATCCCAGTAGCCCCAAAATCTCAACCCCATCAGTGTCAACTCTAAATCTCAAATCGGAAGTCTTATATAAATATCCTCTAAATTAGATATGGCTAAGACTCAAGGTAAAAGTCATCTTGAAACAAATTTCTCTCTAGGCAGGAATCTGTGAAACTAAATGTTATGTGCTTCCAGAGTAGAGTAGTGCTGCAAGCATAGGACAGACATTTCTCCCGAGACAGAAATAGGAAAGAAGAAAGGAGTGATGGATCTCAGGCAAGTCCAAACCACAAGGCAAACTCCCTGGAATGAAGAGCGTTGAACCCGATTTCCTTTGGCTCAATGCTCTGCCTTCCAGGCCCACTGGAGCGCACTGCCCACTTGCTGGGCCTCCTGGGTTCAGCAGCGTTTGTTCATTCCTTCCCAGGTTGGGATTTTCACATTGGAATCTTGGAAGGAAACAAACTTTCAATCTACGTCACCGGATTATCTGTGAAGCTATGCATGCTGTTTCTTAAATGTCTATTCACTCATAGACAACTCTGTATTTTATATCTGACTGCTGCAATTTTATCATTTACTAATTTCTTTCTCCAGGAAAACCACAGTACATAGGGAGTTAATAGATCCTAGGCTCTAGTGCTGACTTGATCACAGGTTTCTGTCTTTTGCCCTCTGCATACCTAGGTTATGCTGTACAAGTAGAAGCATTGTACTGATCTCTTCCTACCACACTGAGTATCGCATGATATCCTGAAAGTGATCTAGATGAAGTTGTTCCAACATCATCATGACCTGCCGGCCCCCACGCTTCCCAGTGCAGCAGAGCCCTGACCTCACTCTCACAGGCCTTACGTCCCCGGAATCACGTAACAGCCACCGCCAGGCAGTCATCGCAGAGGTAGAATTCTATGTATTGAAACCAGATTTCCACAGCTTTATTCACTAGCTTGAAGCTGTAGCTGAAAATTTTATCTGCTTTTAAAGCAGAAAGAAAAGCATATAGGAGCAGAAACGTCAATTGTTTCTTGTAATAGGGAAAGAAGAACATTTCCTGAAACCTTTATAAAACCCTTCTACATTCCAGAACTGCATCAGATGTCCACACTTAGGGGCCGAGAAGTAGAATTCCAGGAGTCATAAGGAAATATTCAAGTTGGTAATTTTATATAGATTTTAAAACCGCAATCTGCATCTCTCACCTCACTTCCACACTAGACTGGAATTCCGCGTTCTCTCTCTGACACCCTCCAGCCACAGTTCCCACAGTTATACGAGGCCTCCTAGCCCCATCCCAGCCCTCGGTTACCTCTGCGGGTGGAGGAGATGGGGAGGAAGGTCTGTGGCTGAGGGGATGAGACTCAGTGAGACAAGAGACCTGTGCTTCCTCCTGGGTCGACCGGGGCTGAGTTCACAAGCTGGTCAGGGCTGAGCTCTAAGACCACGTTCTGGCCACAGGCCACCTTCTGGGTCGGGGAGCAGCAGGGACCGCCCCGCTGGAGCAGCCAGGCCCAGCCACACTCAGCTTTGCCCACTAGTCAAGCCCAGCCTCACAGAAGCGGGTTCAGTAAGCCCCCCATGCTTCCCCAGGGAAAGGGCTGCATTTCATTTATGGAGGACGGTGGTTCCTCACAGGAGTGGGCAGACTCTGGAAGCCTCTGAGGGGTGAAATTCTGCAGCCTGGGAAGGCTGAGAGGCAGGAAGGTTGAGGAAAGGGGGCACGGCCGACCCCTGACTTCCACAGTTCTCCTGCTGGTCAGGGTTAGGTGGAAGGGGGAGCTGGCTGGCTCTGAGGGGCAGGGACCTCTGAGGGGCACGGACCTGAGCTCCCTGAGGACAGGGGCCTTGGGGTAGGTGGTGTCCAGCAACTCACCTTCATCTGGTCACCTGAAGAAACCACTTCAGGGCATAAATACTTCTCTGAAGCTGCTCGAGAGTATGGTCAGGCATCTGCTCTGCCATCTGTGAGACGGCTTGACACCCTGCCCTCTCTTTTGGGAAAGTGAGAGGTGGCCCCATGGATAGAGCAGGGGAAACAAAGTGGTGTCGGAGACTCCGGACTGTGTGTGCTCATGACACAACACCCGGGAAGGCTTAGCTGTGGGAGGGGCGGCCTCTGGTGACAGCCGGCATGGCTCCAAGCTGACATCCTGCCCTTCCTAAGTTCCAGCTCCGCTGCCACCTGCCAGTTCCCATAGCCGGGCCAGCGGAGGGGCAAGATCAGTGGGCTCTGAGCACCCACTGCGAGGGGAGTCCTCTGCCAAGGACCCCTGGTTCTTAGCAGGTGCTTGGAGAGCGGGTGTTTGCAGGGATTTGGTTAGCTGTTGATAGGAATTTGGGGAAGGGGAGGAACAGGAGGCTCTGAAGCCACGTGGCCCCTGCTTCTATCCTCCCCAGCAGTGAGGAGAGAGTATAAGGAGCCCGTCTCCATCTGCTGCACCTCCCGCTCTCTGCCCACCTAGAGGTCCCAGGGCCACTCTGCACAGCCAGGCGGGAGGAAGGACTCCCGCTGTATCGTGTGCATTGGCAGAGGGACAGTGCCGCAGTGGGGATGGGGTGCTCACCCTCTCTGGAAACTCCTCTCTCCTCCCCCCAAATCACTTCATGCTTGGGGCCTTTGCTGCTCCTCCTCCTCTGCCCATGGGGCTTCTTAGTCTCCAGAGACCTAAGTTCACATAGGGCTGGGCAAGATTGAGATCAGGGGACTCCTAACACAGCCAACTTGTCTCAGAGTTTCCAAGAAGACCCCCATGCAGGGGCAAGGGTATGGAATGTAAATTGAGTCACCATGGGGGATGCAGGTCTGTGCTGCTGACATAAGCTGTGTATCTTCAGGGATGCGTTGACTCAGGGAGGGAGGCAGCTCTGGTGGACACGCGATGCTATGCAGCCAACGCCTGCGGGAGATCACGTAGCTTTATTAAACATGTTGATAAATTCAGTCACACGCGAGAGGAAACCCTCTGTGAATCGCAGCATTTCAGGAATCCACTTCATGAACCTATCCTGGGCATAACAGAGTGGCAGCCTCCTGGAGTAGAACTGCGATCAAATAGAAAGCCATAGAAGCTCCCTTGGTGTAATGGTGATTGCCTCTTGTGAGGATCAGTGCATTTCCATTCCAAAAATTCTGGGTGACACACTCCATGTGCCTCAGACCAGGACACTGATCATGGGCCTCAGAGGATTGCAGTTTGGAGCAAGCCAGTCTGGGAGAAGGGGCTGGTGTCTGAGAACATGAGGATCTGCACACGCGGTCACATTTGGAGTGACTGAGAAGCCTCTCTCATTAGAATTGCATGATGCAACTGCACAGAGACACAGTGACCTTTTTCCACTTAAAAATCCAAGTGAGCATCAAGGTCCGATGAAATCCTTTCATCAGAAAATAACTTGCTTTGGTCTGCTGAGACCTAGAGGGGAGAGAGGATTTAGAATTCTTGGACCTTTCTGTGTCTTTGTAGATTGTTAATGCATTTATTAAGCCATTTCTAAGTGTGTCTACTGCTGGTGCATGTTTCAACCTTGAATATCACTAAAATTCATTTTCTCTGCTTCAAGCCAGTGTTCTGAGGGGGAAATGCATTCTGTGCCCTCCATGGCAAGCTTCCCTCCACCCCTCATTTTCTCTCTCCTCTTCTCCCTTCACCCTCTGCCCATCAATGACTTCTCTTTCTCCCTCATGCCCTGTCTCCCTCCCATCCTGCCCCTCTCTCCTCCTACCCTTAGTCTCTATTTACTTTCCCGCCCATACCCTCTCCACCCTCTTCTCTCTAAACAGATAGGAAAGAGGGTCCTGGTGCTGTGTTTCTTCTCCACTCTGTGCCTCTGTGCTGGAGGTGAGGGAGAAGAGTCCAGGACAGTGTTTGAAATGCTCGAAGGGTAAGAGGGGGTTAGAGAAGAATATCGAGAGAGTTGTTCTATCAAAACACTGGACTCTGCAGGTTGGCAGATGCCCATCTCTGCAGGACAGTAGCTGGTTGTATCTGAAGGGGCAAGAGCAAGTGAGCTTTAGCTCACACCCATCACTGTCAGCAAACAGGGTCTCAGGCAGCGTAAAGGAGGAGCTTTATTCTTGTCATTTTTAAGCTGATATCAAGCGATTTATCTTCATGCTTGATAACAACACCTCTTGCAGCTACTTTGACCTTCAGCCATCTTCTGCCCTGGCCAAGTTTATGGTGAGGCCACTGATCTCTGGCACCTGGCACACAGGTGGCTCAGCTCTCTCACTGTACCCAATGATTTTCATCAGAAAACAAGGAAAGCACCGCGTGGATTCCCTTGGCATGAGATCAGGTGCACACTGCCTGCTCAATGGGTCCACCACCCACCACAGACTCCAGCCCAGTGTCGCAGCCGGCGGGGCGGCACCCACTACTCTCCACTTGGCTCACTCCAGACCCTATTTCACATCCACATGGAGCCACGGTCAGGCGGTCTTCGGTCCCATAGAGGGAAGTAGAGACACAGATGGGTCACATGGCTACAAGAAGCATCCAAACTGATGAGGATCAGGATCCCAGGGAGTTGCCAGTTCCACTGCTCTGGGGCTCTGCAGGCTCCAGCAGAGGTTGTTACCAAATCCAGCAACCACAGCTTTACACACCATGGGGTCTCCAGCAAGTAAGCGCACACGCTCTCAACACTTCAAGCCAAAAAATGGAGGACAAGTACAGGAACACCACCAGGCTCCCTGCAAACATAACGGGCCAGCCCCAAATACCCCAGGAAGTGAAGTCTTCTTATGCTTTCAGAATTCAGGGCCATAAAGATGCCTGATGTAAACCCTCTTACATACAGGTGAGGAAGTTGGGCTCAGAGAGGTACAGCAATTTGCCCAAATTCACACGGGGAATTAGGGCCTGTGATAGCATCAGAAACTCAATCACATAAACGTTGGCCCATGGCTGCCTCTGCCGCACTCTGTGGGTGTCTCTATAGTGGAGATGGTATTGAGTTGTTCAGTCAGGTATTACTGAGCATGTGTGGAATACCAGAAAGTCGGGCATTTCAGTGATGAGCAAATCAGTCCCTTCCCTCATGGAGCACAGTGTGTAGGACACACACTGTAAGCAAGTGAACGCTCACTCACTCAGTGAACAATGGACACACTGTCCACTACTGAGGCCCCATGGAGACCAGCACAGAAGCAGTGCCTGGGTCCAAGGAGCCTCCTTCCATCAGGGGGTCTACGGGAGGAGTAGCTAGGCCAGGACTGGCAGGGAGAGCACCCCAGCAGGGGAGGGCCTGTGTGGAAACTACACGGCAGAGGAAGACTTTGAGCAGCTAAAGGGGGTCAGTGTGGAGGGACTGGGCAGTGCAGGGTGTGGTATCAGGGGAACCTGGGAGGCCGGCAGGGGCCATGGCTCTCAGGAGCTTCTGGAACAAGTGAAGAAGTTTGAATTAAATACAAAATGCCACAGGGTGCTACTGATGAAGCGTAAGCAGAAACAATGTTATATAACATACGTTCTTAAAGATCACATGTTTGTATGTGACTGTATGTGCATGAGTGTGTGAGTGTGTGGTCATGGGTATGGAAGTGAGTATGAGTGTATGCAGTGCTGTGTGTGTGTGTGTGTGGTAGTGTGCATGTGAATGAGTGTGTGTGAGTGTATATGTGTGTGCAAGTGGAATAGACTGGAGGGAAGCAGGAAAGTGAGCAGGGTGTGTATCTGGCAGGCTGACACTGGCTGTAGCCACATCTGGATGAGAGGTGTCTGTGGCTTAGAGTCAGATGGTGGCCATAAACACAAAGAGGTAAGGAGAGATTCAAGGTATACTTTGAAAGTGAAATGGTCAAGGCTGAGAGATGTGTTTAAACTGAGTGATAAGACAACGGGTGGTGTGAATGGCAAGTCCCACATTTATGGACTCAAGCAACTGGTTGGGTAGTGGTGCCATTTACTAAGATAACCAAGACTTCAGTGAGAACAGGCTGGTGAGAGAAGGAGGAATTTGAGACACCTTCTCTGGGGGTGCCTGTGAGCTCTTTGAGAGGGTCTACAGGGTGGGCCATCTGAAGAGGGTGGGTCTGGTCTGGAGGTGAGGCTCTGGGCAGTGTTGGCAGGTGGATGATCCAGATGCCACAGCGGGAATGACATCACCCAGGGAAAGTCATGGTGTGGGATGTGGATTCAGGAATGACATCACCCAGGGAAAGGCATGGTGTGGGGTGTGGATTCAGGAATGACATCACCCAGGGAAAGGCATGGTGTGGGGTGTGGATTCAGGAATGACATCACCCAGGGAAAGGCATGGTGTGGGGTGTGGATTCAGGAATGACATCACCCAGGGAAAGGCATGGTGTGGGGTGTGGATTATGTGCTGTCCTCCTAGAATGTCCTGAAGAGGCCAAGCTTTTCCTTAGAGAGCCTGGTGTCCCCTTTGACTTCCCAACATAATTGTGTGTTATTTAAACACTGCCTCCATCTCCACTCTGGTGGTGACTCTACCCTGCCTCAAACCTCTGAACTGTAGCAGGTCAGGTGGCAGGTCAAGGAAAGGACCTGCCATTTCATTGAGGTAAAATTGACATTTACAACTCTACGTATTTAAAGTGTGAAGCATGATGTTTTATATAGACATACATTGTGAAATGATTACCACAATCAAGCAAATTAACATATCCTTCACCTCACAGGTACTTGTGTGTGTGTGTGTGTGTAGTGAAAATACTTGAGATCGACTCTTTCCAAGTTCCAAGTGTCAAACACATTATTAACTGGAGTCCCCATGCTGTCCACTAGGTCTCCAGAACTGACTCATCTTATACCTGCAAGTTTGTGTCCTTTGACCTTTGACCATCATCTCCCTGTTTCTCCTACCCCCAGCTCTTGGTGGCTTTCATTCTACTCTATTTCAATGATTCCAACTTTTCTAGATTCTACATATAAGTGAGATCATGTAGTATGTGATTTTCTGTGCTTGCTTTATTTCATTTAACATAATGTCTTCTAGGTTTATCTATGTCATTGCAAATGGCAAGATTTTCTTCTTGTTAAGGCTGAAAGATATTTTAGTATGTGTGCCTGTGTGTGTGTGTGTGTGTGTGTATCACATATTCTTAATCCATTCATCTGCCAACCTATGGAATAAAAGACATCATTTTCAAACCATATATCTGAAAGGGGGTTAATATTTTAAATAAATAAGAAACTCATACAGCTCAGTAGCAAAATAATAAGAGTAATAACCTGATTAAAAATGGGCAAAGGACCTGAATAGACATTTTTCCAAAGAAGACATACAAATGGGCAACAGGTATATGAAAAAGTCCTCAACTAATCATCAGGGAAATGCAAATTAAAGCCGCAAACAGTTATCACCTCGCACCTGTTAGGATGGCAATTATGAAAAAGTCAAAAAAGGTAACCTGTGCTGGTGAGGATGTGAAGAGTGAACCCTTATTCACTGAGGGTGGGAATGTAAATTAGTAGAGCCAGGATGAAAACAGCCTGAAGGTTCCTCAGAAAATGACAACCAGAGCTTCGATATGATCCAGCAGGTCCCACTTCTGGGGACAAACCCACAGGAAAGGAGGTCAGTGGGTAGAAGAGCTGCCTGCCCTCCCATGTCCACTGCAGCACTGCTCACCGTAGCCAAGACAGGGAAACAACCCAAGTGTCCCTCAGCAGAGGCCATTTGTTTTTAAAGCTAACAGGCCACACCTGGCCATAGCATTGTTTTACTTTAAAAAAAAAAAAACCACGTTCTAGGGGGGTGAAATCTGGGTGTACTCCCATCTCACATTAGCATATAGTACTCCACTGCAGAACATGTGAACGCGGCAGCTCAGGGCAACCCACAATTATTCTATGAAAATGGCTGGCTGAATAACTATACATTTAAGCAAGTCTCAACCCCACTGTGTCTCAACCCCTACTGCCTGTGCTATCGTTAGGAGGAACTGTCCCAAGTCACTCTACCCCGTTTTGCCCAGAACCCTCCTGGTGACAGGCAGCCTCAGTGCCTTCTTCCTCCTTGCTTTCTTCCCTTATAGAGTTCAAATCTCACGTCTGTAGGTTTGTTCAGAACTAACCAGCAAAACTGCACCCAGCTGTGTTCCTAACATCTTCCACGTGCAGCTCTGCGTATCACAAGGAAAGAGATTCCTGAATGTACAACCGAGCCACACCAAGTACAAATCTGCGCACCCTAAAATCTGCCCACTCCCTGTAGTAGCTGCTCCTGCAGCTCTCGCTGTGGGCTCGCATGGCCCCTTCAGCTGTCTAAACAGAAACATTGGCATCCCCAGCTCCACTCCTTTAGCTCCTGCGCAGTGAGAAAGAAAGAGCGAGTCAAACATGAAATCCACTAATATATTAATTCAGCTCAGCAAGCAAAACCCATGAGCACCCAGCTCAGCAGAGCCTGCCAGGCATGACTAATCAGACCCTGGCTGAAGCAACGCTCTCTTCCTCGGTCCTCTCTGGAAGTGTGCTGGTTATGCAGCTTCTTCCTCTGAGCTCAGGAGACTCTGAAAAATGCAGTTTAAAAGGATGTAAATTAGGAAAATGTAAATACCCCTGGCTCCCTCACACAGGACTAGGTTTTGTGGTGGGGGAAGTTGCTTTACCTCATCGAGTCTTGGTTTTCTCATCAGTGATGACTTGCAGAGTTTTGTATGAAGTCCCAGGGCCCTGGCCCCACTACAAGGAGCTTGAATTTAGCAGGTCTGCAGTGGGCCTGGGCAGCTGTATGTTTAAAAGTTGCACAGTGACTGCGATGCTACCCAGCTGAATGGCATCAGCTTAGCTCATGGCTTCTCAGAAGCGATGTGCAGACTCCGATTCAATATCTTCAATGTAGGCTCTGAGGTTCTACATTTCTAACAGCTCCTGGAAGGGCCAGTGCTGCTGGCATGTGGACAACTCTTTGAGTACACAGGTTCCAGGTCTGTGGCTCCCGGTCTCGGCTGCACTTCAGATTGGGCCAGCCCCTCCTGACTGGATAAGATCTTATGGGACTGTTGGTGAGGAATCCCTACCCTAGCCAAGCTGTAGGAGTGTGACTTAAGCTGGCTGATTATCTGGATCCTCTGTGAAAGTTGATCCTAGTGCTCAGTGACTCAAAGACTGTGGAAAGTCAGAGCTCATGAATCCAGATTACAATGACATGCGAGACTGTTCCTGGTGCCCGAGATTCAGTTCCCAGAGCTACTATGGCTTATTAGGTACAGGTACAATTTTCCTTTTGTAAGATGCTCCATATTATTCCAAATATGGCCTTTTTTATTTGTAGAAAAAATATCTTTTTGTCACTGACAATTAAAGAAACATAACTGATATTTCTGTAAGATGTAACATCCCATAATTCTGCTCTCCCTGCATCAACCTGCATGTTCGTGTTATCTTCCTTATGGGGAAGAGGGGATAGCCACCACCTGCCTGGCCCCACACCTCCACCCTCACCTGAAACCCCAGGCCTGGAGAACACACTTGTCACCTCCCCTGCCTTGTGTTTGAGTTTCTCCCTCCGTAAAGAAGCGCTCTAAGGCTGGATGTTGATAAAATGACTCCACTGATGGAGGAAAACTCCTGCCCAGCTGACTCTCACTTCTGGGAAGGACTGGTCATGGTCAAATTGTGAAGGAGCCAAGGCTTAAAGAAGGCATTTCTTTATTCTTTTCTTTCAGTTATTTGTTCAGTTTTCATCTCCAGCCTCCTGGAGCATTTGCCTGATAGGAACCTATTGATGAAACGTGTCCCAAAACCCTTCACCAAAGAACAATTTATCCGTCTAGATCTTCAGTCCCGTCTGCTTTCTAATATGACCAATAGACAATGAAGTGTGTAGTCAGTATTGGCTATTGACACCAACAGCCAATAACAGCTTAATTACTCACTGTTCTGAGGCTGCGTGCTCTGATCCAGAGAAGGATTCCAGCAGTGGGTTTTAGGCACGTTTCCCAGTATCAGTCAGTATCTGGCAGAAACTTAGGACTCTTATTTCTCTCCCCCTTGCTTCCACGTGTCCCATATAGACACTTTATTACTAATCGAGGGTGAGTTGGGTGGCAAGTAATAACACTGCACATCCCACATGCTTTTCTTACAATGTAAGCTTAACGTACCAGCCGTGGAATGATGATGTCTGTCCCCTCTCATTCAGTCTGGCTGGATCTTTGCGACTGCCCTGATTAATGGAGTACAATGAGAAGGACATGATTTTACTCCCAAGGCTAGCATGCGAAAGGTGATATGGCTTCAGCCTGGTTCTCTTGGGATGTTCACTCTTAGAAGAAATTTGAAGAACCCCAAACAGCCACATGGAGAAGCCACAAACAGATATTCTGGCTGGCAGCCCAGCAGAGGTCCCAGCCAGCAGCCAGCATCAACTGCCATGTGAAGAAGTGTGCCTGCAGGGGGGTTCAGACCCCAGCTGCCAAGCTGCCTCCAGCCTCCCGGTCTTCCAAGCTGAGGATGCAGACAGTGTGGAGCAGAGATAAACCACCCTACAATGCTGTTCTCAGATCCCTGGATTGCAGAACCCAAGAGCACTACAAAACAGTTGCTATTTTACATTGCCAAGTTTGGGATTGCTTGTGGCATCAAGGACAGGAAATTCCAAGCTCTTGGTCAATGCTTAGTCATAGTGTCCTGGGTTTGTTTTCAGAGAAAACACATGACAGAGTGGCCCCTTTTCTCTCTTACCTCTCCAGTGACTGCAGCGGGAAGTGCCAAGGGCCAGACAGGCTTTCTCTCGGAAAGTTCTCTCTTCCTAATACAGCAACCAGGCTTGGCTGGTTTTGTGCTGAGCACTGCAGACAAACAGGGTCCCTTGTGCTGTGACTCCATTTCCTCCTGCTATTGTAGGAATTCTCTGGCCTGGTTGATGGAGTCAAGCTTAAGGTCTGGTTGTGAGTGCATAAAAAGGAATATACTGCCCAGCACTTGGTTCTAAGCTCTGAGCTGCCTTATGCATATTCTCATAAATTCTCATGAAGAATTACCTATTGAGTCCAACATAGTTTAATGGAATTCTGTTTGGAGGCTTGGAACCAAAGTCCCAATTAATAATAAAGCGTTACTTTGCTTTCCTTTGCCAGTTTAGCCTATGCATGTATTTTCCTTAGAGAGCCCACGGAGGAGAGAGAGGTGGCTAAAACAAGAAGAGATCTGTGGATGACTGCATCTCCCAGCCAAAAGACCACTCAGATAGCTTCCATGAGGATGACTGCATCTCCTGGCCAAAGACAACTCTGATAGCTTCGATGAGGATGACTGCATCTCTTGGCCAAAGACCACTCTGATAGCTTCCATGAGGATGACTGCATCTCCTGGACAAAGACCACTCTGATAGCTTCCATGAGAGCTCCCTGGGGCATCCATGGAGAAGATATTTTTGAGGGAGAAATCCCCAATGCATCTTGAATCTTGCAGCCCACACAGGGATTTCCTACAAGCAAACCCAGCCTTGAGCTATAAAGACCTGATCACTTTCCTGGGTGAAGACAGCAGACTGACTCAGTTATTCTGTGGATAGGTGACTTGATCAATGAGTTGGCGAGAAATCTAAGATGTGTCTTTCAGGCGCATATCTCAGATTTGTAAAATTATTATTTATTTATTTAATTTTTTTTTTTGGGATAGAGACTCACTCTGTCACCCAGGCTGGAGTGCAGTGGCACGATCTCAGCTCAATACAACCTCCACCTCCCAGGTTCAAATGATTCTCCTGCCTCAGCCTCCTGAGTAGCTAGGATTACAGGTGCCTGCCACCATGCCCAGCTAATCTTTGTATTTTTAGTAGAGACGGGGTTTCACCATATTGGCTGGGCTGGTCTCCAACTCCTGACCTCGGGTGATCCTCCCGCCTCAGCCTCCCAAAGTGCTGGGATTACAGGCTTGAACCACCGTGCCTGGCCTCAGATTTGTAAGATAATTTACACAAGACTCGGTGTCTCTGCATCTCACACTGGTTGTATATTGCATTAAACGGGTGATAATTCTCCCCTAATCAAACTGTGCCCATATGCTGGCAAGGACATTCATGTTATGAAGACAAGAGGTAGCTGAAAAATAAAGAGACAATAGCCACGAGACAGACCCAGAGGTCAGGCAGGGCAGGCTTGCCGTGAGGACACGGCTCATCCCACGGGGCCTGGGAACTGGCGGTCACAGCAGTGCAAGGTCCTGTTCTCTCCTCCGCAGGGACAGACAGGCCACCAGCCTGACAGAGACGGCACTGGGGGCAGCTGCCAGGAACAAGCAGGGATTACACTAGGATTTCTCAAAACCCGTCTCACAGAATACACGTTTTATTAAAAACTACTACATGAAGATTCTGTGTTCAAGTGAGTTTTGGAATGAGGAAGATCTGCAGCCAGTTTCACATGTAGATTTCTCCAAAGGATTTGGCCACAGACATTTAATTCTGGGAAACTTAAAGGCATGCTGATCATCTCAAGGTATTAAAAATAAATTTTTCTGAATGGTGGGATTATAGTTAATTTGCATTTTTCCTTTTGTTTATCTGTGAATCACATATTTTGCATAATGACTATATATTGCTTTTGTGGTGGAGAAAATATTTTAATGCAATGAAAACTCTGGTCTACCTGAGGTCAGGCAGATCTGCAGAACAGTGGACAGAGTGGGAAGGTGGGAATAGAGCGGCTCCTCCCTGCAGAGGAGGAGGGAAACCCAGGCTGGACCCAGGCAGGGTCTGAACCTCCAGTGAAGACATGAGGGACTGGGGTGGGTACAGCACAGTGCAGGGCCTGCTTGCTTTCCTCTCCTCACACCCTGCTTGTATATTCCATTTTCTTTCAGGACAATGAGCTCCAAGCAAGGATGGTGCAGGAAGAGCTCAGGACGGATCTTGCCACCTCCATCTTAGCCAGAGGGTTTTCCTGAGCTCAGGAGCCAAGCTTCTCAGACCCATTCTTGCACACTGCAAATTTCTAATCCATTGCTAAGGGCCACTAATCCCAAACTGAATTTAGAGAAACAAACAGGAATAGATGCTTTTTAAAATACTTACCAACATTCATATTTCTTCTCTGATTTTGAAAAACATAATTAATAATAAAACACTTGGGATCATGCAGCAAAGATACTTTATGGGAATATTTATTATGCAAATAACTAAATTAATTGCATACATTTGCATCCTATTAAGCATTGAAAAGTAAAGCAGCTTTAATAGAATTAAATCTACTTTTACCAAAATGATCTCATCTGGCAGGAAGAGTTAGGGCAAGATTGGTTTGGATTGAGATTTTCCATCCTGCTTAGGAATTCTAAAGTTCTATAGAATGAAAGTTTTTCTTGATAATAATTTTTAAATCATAAAAATGAAAGAAATGTTATTAGAAGTCCTACGATTTCACCACCAACTTCAATGCCCTAATGTGGCTATCCATACTGCTTTTCCAATATCTTCCAAACGTCGATTATGGATTTATATAAGTTTTTTCTACTAAATTATGTCTTACAGACATTATTGAAACAGTATACTTGCTAAACATCTGTGAATTTTGTGTAAGAGTAAGGTCCCAAGATTTTCTAAAGTTTGAAAGACAGTCATGCTCTGGAGTCACCCTCTGGGCTCGATGCGATGGTGCCCAACGAATACCTCCAGCCTGCTGGGGCTGGAGCTCCTGTCTCAGTCTAACCCTGCCCAGTAAGGAGCTGACTCAGCCCACACTGCTCAGGAGGCCCTGCGGCCCTCTGGGCTTGCAGGTATTCCTGCCCTCAGCTGGGGCCAGCCCAGGCTTCGGTGATGCGGTTTCCTCTTCAGAGGGCACTCTCGGGCCTCTCTCAGGACGTCTCCACCCCACACACGCTGCTGCCCACACCTCCTTTCAGGGAAGGGGCGCAGATACCTCCCATCTTCTTTCCTACACCTCAGCTTTGCTCCCTTCCCCTTTTACTCTGCACACCATGGCAATTTTCACCCCTTTTTGGACAAAAATTTCCTGACAGGACTTAACCTCCCTGGCACTTAAAATCTGAACTCTAACCTATGTTATTTGCAACAGAAAGAAAAGTGCTTTTATCTGTCCTTTCAGGTAAATTATTTATTTATGTTTTTCTTTATAGCGCCACCGTTCAGATTTGCTGGATTTGGAGACAAAATCCAGGTTTGAATTGTGATTCTATTTCTTACTGCTCCGTGGCCTGGGGCAGCCAGGTCAGCTCTCTGAGCCCTGTGGTCTGCATGGCTGAGTGAGAATGCCCACCTCCACTGAGAACCAGCCAGTGAGGTGCCAGCAACCCATCTAACACAGGCAAAGAGGATTTCTTAATGAAAACATTTTGTCTTGCACAAAACAATACTCAATTTAAGAAACAGCAAATGCAGAAAAGGAAAAAGAGGATTAGAAAACTATAGAAAGAGCTCAGTGCATGGCAAGAGTTTAATGAATATTAGTTCTTCCCATTTAGTTTTGCTTTCCAACCCACTAAGCATGCTTCGAAAGACAGAGAAGAAAGAGGGGTTACAGCAAAAGCAGTGATAAGAGTTTCTTGCATCTTCACAGATCAAGCATCTTGGTCTGCAACCAGGTTTGTCTGAACAAAGGGTTAGGAGCCAAAGTTTGGGGTGGTGAAAGCCATGGGGCCCATGTTAGGCTGAGGACAAGTGTGCATATGGGTGGCAGGTGGCTTTGCCCAGAATGAACTGGAGGGTGACGATCCTGGATCTGGCAGTGAAGCGGCAGTGTCTCTGCTCAGCCGGAGCGGGAGGTGTGGAGCCACTTCGTCACACTCTCAGCTGCACGGCTTTGGGCCACAGCCTGTAGACACCGGTGGAATCTGCTCAGAGCTTTGAAGAGAGGATTCCCAGAGCCAAGCTATGGATGGGACTAGGAAGCGAGTGACCAAGAACAGCTGCTCTTCACCTCCACGGGCAGGGTGGGGCGGGGTGGGAGGTGAGCTTTGCCGAAAGCCAGGCTGAAGGTGATGCAATGACCGCACCATGGCCAGGAGCAGAACCACACGTTCTTTTTGGTTTCTGTGTAACTCTTGCCAAATTTACAATAAACCCTGCAAATCTGCTGGAGCCTCTCTCTTTCTTTCCCAACCTTTGCAAGGACCTGTCTTGAAACTCCTTGCCTGATTCCCCGCTTCTTGTTTTTCCCTGTTCCTCCTGCTCCCTTTTTCTTTTCAGCTTTCTCTCCAATCATGTTCCTGTCTATTCTTTTTCTTTTTGCTACCCTGCATGGTGAATATTTGCTATTTTCCTGCTCAGCAGAACCTGCTCTCCCCACTCTCAGCCCGTGAGTGGGTGGGTGGGGCTGACCTTAGCACCTGGTGATGTCACTTGAGAACCTAGTTGGCTGGGCCCAGACTTATTAGGTGGTCAAGTCAATAAATGCCCATTATCATGTTTAAGCTGCTTGTGGCTGGGTTTTCCTGCTTGGCACCAAGAGGCCTGAGTCATTTGCATCCTCGGGACCGGCCCCTGCCCCATCTCCAGCTTACACCTCACCCCATTCCCACCCCTAAACTGCAGTCAGGCCGAGGTGCTGACAGGCTGCCCCTGTGCCACGCCACTGCTGCCCCTCAGTAGGTCCCTGCCCTCCTGGCA
The DNA here is from genome assembly GCF_000001405.40 of Homo sapiens. Lineage (NCBI taxonomy): Eukaryota > Metazoa > Chordata > Mammalia > Primates > Hominidae > Homo > Homo sapiens. The sequence continues at coordinate 167,919 of NT_187581.1, read as the reverse complement.
CTTCTTGGTGTCATGGTTTTCTGAGCCACAATGCTGTTCTAATTGTGAGGCAGTGGCATCTGCCTGGCTTCCTCCCCAGCCCCAGCCCCTGCCATGGGGACTCTGCCTGAGCTCTGAGGGCAGGTGGGGCACCCTGCTCCTGGCACAGGCACTATTTCCACCTCTCTTCTTCATTGCTATCCGGCTTTCCCTTGCTTTTATCCCCTCCCCTTCTCCTGCTTCCCACTGGTCAACTCTTCTCCCAGGGCCTCCCAGGGCCTAGGTCTGAGCAGTGGAGACCTCCATGAGCAGGCAGAGGGCAACCAGGCAGGCTCCATCCAGAAGAGAACAGGCCTGGACCAGATGCAGATTCTCCCAGGCTCTGCAGGGCCTGGCAGGGAAACTGCTGCTCCTGAGCTGCCTTCAGGGGAGTCCTCAGAATAAGGGGAGCTATCAACAGGCAGAGCAGTGTTTACGAGGACAGTTATGATCTTGTCACTGTCCTCAAGGAGCTTCAGGTCCAGGAAAGAAAAATGAGCCACCTGTGAAGCAGAATTGTGTAATCACCTGGCGAGCAGGGAGGAGCCCCCCAGACACCACAAAGACAGGGAGCACTGGGAGGGAGAAGCGGGGCCAGGCTGGGGAGACCTGCAGAATGGGGCGGGGCTTCTGGTTTCAATGTTTACTTGCTGAGTGGCCTTGGACAAGTTATTTCATCTGCCTGAGCCTTACTTTCCTCATCTGTAACATGAAAATGCCAAATATACCAGCACCTGGATTGCCACGAGGATGAGGTGATTACAATGCGTATGGTCCTGAAACAGTGGTGTCCCTCTCCCCACCCTGCCATTACCCAACCTCTGGTCTTCAAATCGACCCTATAAGGTAGGTATTTTTACGTTCGCTTTGCAGATGAGAAAACCAAAGCTCTGTGTAATGACACATCCCGGAAATGTGAGGACAGGTTTCAAATCCAGGTGTGTCTGGTCAAACCTGAGCGTTCCCTCCAGCCCTGCTGCCCCCTTTCTGCATGTGATCTTGGCTGGGGTCAGTGTCTGGCAAGCACACTGTCTGGCTGGCTCAGGCCTTTTGCCCCAGCTGTGGCCTTCACCCCCAACTAATTAACTAACTGACAAGCTGTTTATGAAGCTGCACTCCTGGTGACGTTGTTGGTGGCTGTGATAATCATCCTGTTTTTCCACTTATTCAGCCACCTTCTGAAGGGTCCTTTTATGGGACCCTTTTATGGATTATCATTGTTCTGGGCAGTTTATTATGCAAATGAAGCCTCAAAGTGCTCGATGCTGTCTGCTGAAATGTGCTTTATAAGATAATACATTTTTTTCCACAAACCAAAATAAACTAGTGTAAATGACAATGGAACGAGAAAAGCTTTGCTCTTTATAAAAAGGGCCGTGTGAGATTCTTTGAAACTGAACGCCGGCGGAGTCTGACTCTGACCCTGGATGAAGAGATGCTGCTCTTTTAAGCGAGGGATTTCTTTTCGGAAGAGGCTTTGCGAGCATGGAACAGCGAAGCCCGGGATGGGAACCAAGAAAGGTCACCGAAATGTAGACACCCCGGCCTCAGTCTCTGGAGTTCAAAAAGGCTGCGGTCAATTGTTGGAATTTCTTTTCACATGAAGAAATCTACATTCTGTGTAAATAAACCACTTTAAAAATGTGTGTGTTGTCTTAGTTACACAGACATTTCTATAAAAGTACTTGTAATTGTGTCTAAAAGACTGAAACCATTTAAAAAAACACCTTGAAAAATATTTTTCTCTGCCTGGTTCAGTGAACAGTTCCTACAAGCCCCTTTTCTCTCTCTATTGGAAAATAGTAATTCCAGATTTTGTGCCAATCCGTCCACTGATCTAAACCGCGGCTCTTCTGTGGGCCGCGCACTCGCGCCCCTCCTCACTCTAGTCATACGCCCCTGCTGGGAGGGCCGCGCTGCTCCGCCCCCTGGTGGTTGCAACCCTGCCTGTGAGTCATTCTTCTGACTCCGCTGCACCCAGCCTGGTGGTTTACAATAAACTCCTCCATTCTCAGAGGCCAGGGAGGCAGTGGGAGGAGAAGGGGTCTGCACGAAGAAGCCTGGCGAGAGGCTCACATGCTTGTATGTGATTAGATGGGAAACACACCCCCAAGCTGGGTGAGCAAAGAGTCCGAACCACATGCTGCTCTCTGTGTATACATGGAGAGTATCCTCAGCTTGGCCAGAACCCTGACCCCACCTCCAGGCCCCAGTGTGGAAGATCCATCCATGGATGATCATGGTCCAAACCAGCTCCTCACTTGAGCTTTCCTTCCCTGCACTCTTGTCAAATTGCACCAGGATTCCCTACGACTCGTTGATGTTTCCCTAGCACTGATTACATGGTCTCCTGGATGGAGAATAGGGTTAGGAAAGTACATCTTTAAGCATGTTCAGGCTAGAAGTCCAGGCCGAAGACATTCATAAAGGGGTCACCAGCAACATAAATAAGCCAAAACAGTACTGGGACTCCGTAAACTGAGAGTGCTCTTTGGATGTAGCTCTGGTTTTCAACAGGTGATGGCCAGGCTGCTGGCAGGCAGCGGCGAAGCTAGCACTCAGGCCTTCTTCCCCACGCCTGAAGCCCCCAAGACCACTTCCAGCCCCCACCTGATCATTACATAGGGGCCTTCTCTCAAATGATGTGCAGGGTGTGGGCAGTGGCATCATTGCCCAGGCCCTTCAGCTGACCTGTCCAGGTTTGGGAAAGGAGGACTGGGATGGAGGTGAGGAGGAGCTCAGGCAGAGTGGTGTTTTTCTTTGCACTTAGCATTGGGTGTGTTTGGCCCAGGAGAGGTGAACGTGGCCAGAGCAGAAATAAAACGAATCAGCAGCGTTACACAGTGCTGGCTGAGATGCTCCACTATCCAGGAAATAAGCAGACTTTGGTCATCAGAGTAGAGACAGCTGCAGAGTGCAGTGAAGGGCTGTTTTCAGGGTTGCAATCAGAACAGAGCAGCTTTCCCCTTACCAAATCCTGGCATCATCTCTGTGTCCATGGCCCCACCCTCCAGGACAGCAGCAGAGAGGGGCCTACACATTCTCCTCCCGTAAGTGCTGGGACATCGGGGTAGGGGACGTGAGATTGCGTATTTTCCTTTTGACACTTTTGTCTATTTGAATACCTCAGGAAGTAACACTATTTTCTCAGTTGAAGGATTGCTCAGAAGTCTAGGACTCCCCTTCACCTCACCTATGCCACCAAATCCCCTGCTGAAATAAAGTTCCAGGCTGTCTTGCCACTGCCTGTGGCCAGCTGCGTCCCTGGTCCCCCCCCCCCCACAGGGTGGCCTCTTTCCCTGCATTTGCATCTCCCGTGTCCCTGTCAGTCAAAGGGGACTCCCTGCTGGGGGCCATGAAGGTGTCAGGCAGGCCTTGACACAGAGGCCCTCTCCAGGAGGAGAGGGACAGCCGAGAGGAGGGACCAGCGGGGCTTCCCCACTGCACCGTGCAGGGCTCTGCAGCCTCCTGCCCTGGGTGAAGAGTGCAAGCACCTTCGCTTCTATGTTATTGGAGAAGGCAGAGTGGAGGTGGGTTTCTAATATGGAATAAATAAGAGAAAGACAGGCAAAGAGTTTGGGAGTAAGTTTTTAAAAATTCCTTGGTAAATGACTGACTGTAAACATAAATCCTGCCATTCAGCTAGCGGGAAATAGTCCCAGCAAGAGCATGAGGGTCCTGGGGGCTCGGCTGCCGCCGACAGCACAGCAGCGTCACTGGACTTTGCTGCAGGCGAACATGTGTTCAAATACCACCTCCGCTCACACGTGCTGCCTGTCTGAATTTAGGCTCCAGGCTTCTCATCTTTTCAAGGGAAGGGATAATAACGTTCACCTGCATAGTGCTCTTTTGAACAAGAAACAAGATTATGTATGCAAATATCTTAAGTGTCATTACTTTTAAACAAACGGAGTTGTTAATTTTATTATTTCCGCTTTTATTATTCCCCAAGTCATTATTTGAACACCTAGAATGGGGCTTGGCAAATAGTAGTCACACAATACATATTTGTAGAACAGATCTTTGAACAAATACATGGTAAAATGAATGAATTAATGAATACCAAATTACTGTGAAAAACGTTCAGACCAAAGAAAAATTTGCTGAAAAGGAACCAGCTTCCCTTTCGTGTCTCTCCCAGCCCAGGCAAGCAGCCCACCAGGGGGTGCTCCCTGAGCCTTCTAAAGGCAGAGCGGCCTGTTGGGAAAGGCCTCGGGGTGTCAGTGGGAACTTCCTGCTTTGCTGAGGGAGCAAAGGCCTGTGTGGGAAGGAAGGTCACAGCTGGTCCCCAGCCTCCAACAGCAGGAAGCGGGACAGAAGGAGCCCCTCGGTGTACCCTGCAACCCCCAGCCAGGGAGAAGCAGCAGGAGAGAGAGCTACTTCCTCTAACCAGTGGTGGTTCCTAACTCCAAGACATCCTGGACATTGGTTCTGAACAGTAATCATTGGAATTTGCTCTTTTCTGGAGCCATGAAACTACCAGAATAAAGTAATCAGAGTGAGCCCATGATGTGCTAGGGAAAACTAAATATTTCTCTTCAAAATAATGGTCAGTTTCCTACTGAATGCTACATGATAAGTGCAGTATGTTTGACTATGACATCAGTGAGTTTGCTCCTTAGAGGATATTTTTGGGTGATACATTGAAATTTACCTTTGACCATTTGTTTTGGCAGAAGGTGTCTCTCCAATATCCAAAATTTGGATAATCCACATTAAAACTAATTTTATTGTGGCTAATTTTTATTAAATGTTATTAAAAATAATTATCACATTGTATTTATTAAATATTTGTTAAATTTTATAGAATTTATTAAATTTTATTGATCACCACTAAAAGATACATATATATATTTAATGTATATTAATATACAGCGGCTCATCTTCCTCCTGAGAAACCTAAAGTTGGTGGCCTCAATTATGATTGTTGTTTTGATTTGGTGGTTGCGTTGTTGTTATTAATATCATTCATTATCACCCTCTGAAGCATGCAGTCCTGGGCAAATGGGAAAGGCCCAGTGCCAGGTCATTGAGGGCTTGCAACTGTGAAGGAAGAAAAGAAAAAACAGCAGGAAGGGCCACTCTGCTCCTCCCACTCCACACAGAGTGGCTGACTGCAGCAGGCTCACTATAGGACTGTGCCAGAGGCAGAATTGTCTCTGCACTAAGTGCTTCATCTTCCCTTTCTCTGCATTTCTGTGTGTGTATATGTGCATGTGTGTAAGGAAGACAGGTGTGTGGGGCTGTTGACCGGAAGAAAGGCCCTGTGTCATACTGTATTCTCAACTTTTAATTATGTTCAGACATTTTGCAAAATCAAAGGCTAGAAAATATCACTTAAAGTAATCCAAGCTTGTCCAACCCGCCTTATTTTGTGGTGGTTGTTTTGTTTCAGGCTTTTACCAGCCCGAAGCCATGGTTTTTAGTTTCTGTCTCTAGTGATAAGTGGAAAAGAGGGATGAGGAAGGGGTTTTACTGGCCCAACCAGAAACAGGAATGAAGAACCCAAGAGTGTATTATGTCCCTTAGACACCCCTGTAAGCTCTTGCACAGACTGAGGCTTCAAAAACTGTCACTGTCACTATTATTGTTAAGGATCTGATAGTTGAGGAGTTCTGCCCTTGACGAGACCCTCACTGTGGAACACCTCCATCTCCCAGAGCCTCCTGACCCATCCTCATCCCCTTGCTCCAGATCCTGGAAGGAGAGGGGTAAATGCAGAGGGTGATTCTGCCCCCCATCCTAAGGATCCCCAGGGTCTGGGGAGGGGGTATGACACTGACATTTGGGCCACAGTGAGTTCCTGTAGTTGCCTACAGTGGGGATATTAGGGTACATGCTGTGGTTCGGATGTGGTTTGGTCCTGCCAAAACTCATGTTGAAATTTGATCCCCAGTGTGGCAGCACTGGGAGGTGGGGCCTAGTGGGAGGTGTTTGGGTCATAAGGGTAGATCTCTCCTGAATAGGTAAATGTCCTTTTGTGGGGGTGAGCTCTCACTCTTGCTTTCTCAGGAATAGATTGATTTTCACTGGAGTGAGTTGTTAAGAGTCTGCCTCCCTTGGTTTCTCCTGTTTCTTCTCTTGCCTTGTAGTCTCTTTGCACACTTACTCATCTTTTGCATTCCAGTAGCAGTTGAAGCCGTGTGAGGTCCTCACCAGATGGAGCTGTCAAATCTTGAACCTTCCAGCCACCAGAATTGTGAGCCAAATAAGCCTCTTCTTTTTATAAATTACCGAGCCTCAAGAACGCTGTTATAGCAACACAAAACTGATTAAGACAGTAGGTTAGCACAGAAAATAAATCAATAGCAAAGAGGAATTTTCTGGGTAAAGGCCTGCTCCTCCCCACCTCCATTCGATGCAAGACACACCTGCAGGACATCCTCCCACCCTGCCCTTATCCCTGTCTCCCAGTGTAGCGGACAGTCCTGACCTGTGATTGGAAGGACTTGTTAGTTAACTCCTACAGAGGTTTCCATGGCCAGCTGGTGTCCCCACACCCATGATTTCAGATAAGATCTCAGTTGTTCCACTTTCCCCATCTTTCTCTTTATCCGTCTCTGGACCCTACTGCACTGGGCAGCCAGCCCTGCCCCAGGAGCCTGAAAAGGAACAAATTATTGATGGATCCTTCTCATTTTTCTCAAGCAGAGCTCCCATCAGAGGCTGACCTGGTCCTCATGGCTTGCAGCATGGCCTTTTCCATTTCCTGTGAACTGTGATGCCCGAGCACAGTGAGCCAGCTCAGCCCTGAACACAGGTGGGCGCTCTGGTTCTGATGCCTGAGCATGGTGAGCCTGCTCAGCCCTGAACACAGGTGGGCGCTCTGGTTCTGATGCTATCAGAGCACGGTGAGCCAGCTCAGCCCTGAACACAGGTGGGCGCTCTGGTTCTGATGCTATCAGAGCACGGTGAGCCTGCTCAGCCCTGAACACAGGTGGGCGCTCTGGTTCTGATGCTATCAGAGCACGGTGAGCCAGCTCAGCCCTGAACACAGGTGGGCGCTCTGGTTCTGATGCCCGAGCACAGTGAGCCAGCTCAGCCCTGAACACAGGTGGGCGCTCTGGTTCTGATGCCCGAGCACGGTGAGCCTGCTCAGCCCTGAACACAGGTGGGCGCTCTGGTTCTGATGCCCGAGCACAGTGAGCCAGCTCAGCCCTGAACACAGGTGGGCGCTCTGGTTCTGATGCCATCTCCTGTCTTCACATCATTTATCTGGTTAATCTAAGGCACAGTGTCAACGGGAAAGTAGGATAAACGCTTGACTTTTTTCCTTTTATTTATCAGTTTTCAAAAGTTTGAGTTAGTTCAATATCATCCTTAAATGGCCACTATATCCTTTGGCATTTTTGTTTGTTTTTAAGGTTATTAAGCTGTCATGGATGTTAACATAGCTTATGTGCTTTAATCCACTGCAGTTGCTGGTGCTCAACTGTCTCATTTTTGTCCAGAGATCCTTCTTCAGGTTGGTGCCAGATCCCTTTTGATAAAACATTATTACTTGTAACTCCCTTCCCAGAGGATGAGGAGTGGAGTTGAATGTTCCCAGCATGGTCTTTCTGGGACCAGCTTCCACCCAGGAGCCCAGCAAGAGTCACCTCATTAAAACAAAAGATGCTCCTATCACCCAGGAAATTTAAAATGTTTAGGAGCTCTGTGTCGGATACAGGGGGTAAAAGACAAAATACTAGAACCAAAGATGTATCTTGCACCCCATTGCTCAGAAAACTACCAGGATTTTAGGATTTCTGTGCCAGGAACCAGGGACAGAGATCAAATACATATTTCTTATTACATCATGATATCACACACCCCTCAGAAATATGGGAATATTCTACGGTGAAATAGAAAAGGAAGTTTATAAAAGTTGATGGGGAGGGAGAGGGCTAGTTTCCACGGGACCAGAGAGAGTTTTCAGGCCCAAACACGGGAGATATGAAGGGAGGGATAAGTAAGGCAAATGTGCGGGTCCTGAGAGCCCCTTCCACCAGGGTCTCTCTCCCAATGTGAAACTCACTTGTGTTTGGGGTAAGAAACCAAGAGCCCATGACTGTATTCTGTCCCTTGGACACCCCTGTGAGTTCTCATGACTGTATTCTGTCCCTTGGACACCCCTGTGAGTTCTCATGACTGTATTCTGTCCCTTGGACACCCCTGTGAGCTCTCATGACTGTATTCTGTCCCTTGGACACCCCTGTGAGCTCTCATGCCTGTATTCTGTCCCTTGGACACACCTGTGAGCTCTCATGCCTGTATTCTGTCTCTTGGACACCCCTGTGAGCTCTCATGCCTGTATTCTGTACCTTGGACACCCCTGTGAGCTTTCATGACTGTATTCTGTCCCTTGGATACCCCTGTGAGCTCTCATGCCTGTATTCTGTCCCTTGGACACCCCTGTGAGATCTCATGACTGTATTCTGTCCCTTGGACACCCCTGTGAGCTCTCATGACTGTTTTCTGTCCCTTGGACACCTCTGTGAGCCTCATGACTGTATTCTTTCCCTTGGACACCCGTGTGAGCTCTCATGCCTGTATTCTGTCCCTTGGACACACCTGTGAGCTCTCATGACTGTATTCTGTCTCTTGGACACCCCTGTGAGCTTTCATGACTGTATTCTGTCCCTTGGATACCCCTGTGAGCTCTCATGACTGTATTCTGTCCCTTGGACACCCGTGTGAGCTCTCATGACTGTATTCTGTCCCTTGGACACCCCTGTGAGCTCTCATGACTGTTTTCCGTCCCTTGGACACCTCTGTGAGCCTCATGACTGTATTCTTTCCCTTGGACACCCATGTGAGCTCTCATGACTGTATTCTGTCCCTAGGACACCCGTGTGAGCTCTCATGACTGTATTCTGTGCCTTGGACACCCGTGTGAGCTCTCATGACTGTATTCTGTCCCTTGGACACCCCTGTGAGCTCTCATGACTGTATTCTGTCTCTTGGACACCCCTGTGAGCTCTCATGACTGTATTCTGTCCCTTGGACACCTCTGTGAGCCTCATGACTGTATTCTTTCCCTTAGACACCCCTGTGAGGTCTTGCACAGACTGTTTCAGTTATTTCTGGAGGAGATGCCCATCTCCTGGGGGCCTGTTCTCACACTACTACAAAGAAGTACCTGAAACTGGGTAATTTTAAAGAAAAGAGGTTTAATTGGCTCACAGCTTCACAGGCTGTACAGGAAGCATGGCTGCGGAGGCCTCAGGAAACTTTCAGTCATGGTGGAAGGCAAAGTGGAAGCAGGCACATCTTACATGGCCTGGGCAAGAGGAAGACAGTGAAAGGGGAGGAGCTACACATTTTCAAGCAACCAGATCTTGTGGGAACTCACTCACTACCCTGAGAACAGTAAGGGGGAATTCAGCCCCGTGATCCCATTACCTCCCACCAGGCCCCTCCTCTAACACTGGGGATTTCAATTCAACAAGAGATTTGGGCAGGGACACAGATCTGAACCATATTAGGGCCCCATTAGCCCCCAGCTCAAGGCTGAGGTGGGAGCCCTTGTGAAATGCAGACCTGATGCACAGATTGTGTTCTCAGCCAGACAGCTCTTCATTGATTGCCTTAGACAGGGCCAAAGTGAGGATATTGATCCAAGCAGGCCTAAGAGCTCCTTCTGGTATGGGAGGGATCAACTTGAGTGCAGTAAACTTGCTCCTTTGGGACAATGTGGAGTAGAGAGGACCAAGAAATAGCAAGCACTGGAGCAGGGTGGGCTCACTGCCAAGAGACACAGGCCTGCGCCTCTCTGACCCAGGAGACTCACCACAAGCCTCCTGAAGCTGCCTTTCCTCTTCACACAGCGCCATGCTTGGCAGACAGCCGGGGAAAGGGTGAGGAGGGCCAGGTGTCCTTATTTTCCTAGACATTTCTTGCAGATAGTTGCTTTTTAATCACCTTAATGTAGAATAGAAAGAATACCAGGTTTCAGGCTGGAAGGCTCTAGCTATAACTTCTCCATTTCTGAAATCTGACTATCTTTTCTTGTTTGTTTTGTTTACAGCAAAATTTTGTAAAAGGATGAACTTCGGTGAGTGTATTAGGACTGCCAGAACAAAAATTGGAAGAGTTAGGTCTCAAAGTATCTTTTCTTCTTTCTCTTTTTAAAGTTTTATTATGGTAAGGATACTTAACATGAGCTCTACCCTCTGAGTGGATTTCCAAGTGCACAGTGCAGTGGTGTCATCTGCAGGCACGATGTTGCAGGCACGATGTTGCAGCCAATCTCCAGAATGATTCACCCGCATAAAGGAAGCTTCACACTCCAGGAGAAGCAACTCCCCATCCCTCCTCCCAGATCCTGGAGACCACCATTTTCCACTCTGCTTCTGTGAGTTGGGCTATTTAAAATACTGCATATAAATGGAATCATGCAGTGTTTGTTATTTTGTGAGTGGCATATGTCGCTTGACATAACGTCACTCTTATTCAAATCCTGGCTCTGACACTTTGATTGCCTGTGAACAGGTTAAATTCTGCATACCTCAATTTCTTTCTTTCCTTCTTTCTTTCTTTCTTTCTTTCTTTCTTTCTTTCTTTCTTTCTTTCTTTCTTTCTTTCTTCTTTCTTTCTTTCCTTCTTTCTCTTTCTTTCTTTCTTGTTTTTTTGAGACAGAGTCTCGCTCTCGGCTCACTGCAATCTCCAGCTCCCGGGTTCAAGTGATTCTCTTGCCTCAGCCTCCCAAATAGCTGGAATTACAGGCACCCACCACCAGGCCTGGCTACTTTTTTGTATTTTTAGTAGAGACGGGGTTTCACCGTGTTAGCCAGGATGGTCTTGATCTCCTGACCTCATGATCTACCTGCCTCGGCCTCCCAATTTCTGGATTTCTAAAGCAGGAATAATTGAAACAGCTACCTTAGAAGATCCCGCTGTACATTAAATATAAATGTTTAATGCTTGACAATGCCTCTTGCTTAATTGTGTCTATTGTGATAGTTCCTATGCCGTGTATACCGGAGACGAAAACAGTCAGAGCTGCCCCTGTTCCCTCGTTTCCGGGAGCTTCAGTTTGTTCCTTGTAAAAGCAGGATGGGACACTCAGGCCAGGATATTTACCAAACGTGGTCCCTTATTTTCAGACGGAGTATAATAGACCCGGTTAGGGTGCTGACCCCAAACTCAAAGCTAGTTAGATGCCTCTCTGACAAGGCGGCAGCAAGACCGCAGATATGAGAGCTGGCTTGTGAGATTCTACCAGCTCTCCCGGGAGAACAGCACTTTTCTTTGGTTGATTCTAAAAACCACACCTTGGAGCCCATGTGTTGTCAGGAACACAAGGATATTTAAATAGCCCCACCATCCCTTCTACTCCATAAGGATTTTGTATGGGAAAATTCTGAACTTTTGCTAATTGAAGATTTGCTTCCAATGAGTCGGGAAAAAAAATCATAAAGTTTAAATCTATTCAACAAATTAATTGATGTCTAGAAAAATTAATAAGGAATATTCAAGAAACGGTAACTTTTTAACCTTGCAAGAATATAAAAACAAAGTAAACATCAACGAGAAATTTATTTGTAAATGAGACACCCAGGTGTATTCATTTGCATTTTATTAATGGAAATTTTTTCCTGAAATGACCATGAAACTTGAATATTAAGTGCAATAATCGTGCAGTCAAAACCGAAGCTATGCAAAAGGCAGCAATTAGGGGTGAGGGGATGGTTGTAGCTGCCTGTGGAGGGATCCCTGTGTTCCTCCTGTCCAGTGATACCAAATTTCAGCCTGGGTGTGGGCCAAGTGAGATGGTCTGTCTGGGCTAGGCTTAGCATCAGTGTGAAGGAAAGAACTGATGAAGTAGAAATAAAGAACTCTATCCTGCCCCATAGTTTGATTTTATTCAAGGTGTGTGTCTGCATTTGTGTATGTGTGCTTACAATTCATTCATTTTTTTTTCAACAGTTGTCATCATTCAACACCTAAATCCCTTAATATCAGATGCCATCCATCCTTGTCTCTTTGCAAAGCCCATTCCCCTTGCGGCTTTTCCACCTGCCTGCTCCCCACTCCTGGTGACTATAGTCCACTGCCATCCTGGTCACCCTTCCGTGTAGCCCCTGTTTACTTTCTTCTTCTTCTTCACCCCCAGCACCTGCTATCCTTCTTGGTGGCTCACTATCCATGTAACACTCAGCACCTGGATTCACAGGGCTTTAACCTCCACGTTGTCAATTTCCTTCTCATCTACCCGAGGGGAGTCAGTATTCAGCCACTGCTGGGGTCATAGCTTGTCATCACCAATAACTTTTTCACTCCCAAAATGAATTCCAATAGCCCACTTTCATCACACAGCCTCCTGCTTCCAGACTACTTATTTCAGAAGCTTCATCAACCTCACCAAGACCTCCTCTCATTGATCTTATGGCTTTCTGGTTGTCTATATCAGTGTTATAGATATTTAACGTGTCATAGTTATTTAACTTGTTATAGTTGCAGATTACACTTTTCCTTCATTCCTAATGTCCTACTATCTTAAATCTTTGTTCTATCTTCATAATCACTTAGTTAAAATTAAGCTTAAATTTCTGTTCTAACCTATACTCCAATGTAGTTGCTAAGCCTTTGCCTTAGAAGATCTGAACCAAACTTTCTTTATCTGCATACTGGCAAGACTGGCCATTACTGAACAGAAATCACACAGAGCAGCAGATTAGTTGCACTATAAACTATGACCACCTGCTTCAACACTAGTTAGCAATCAACTATGACCACCTGCCTCAACACTGGTTGACAATCAACTATGACCACTTACCTCAACACTGGTTAGCAATCAACTATGGCCACTTACCTCAACACTGGTTAGCAATCAACTATGACCACTTACCTCAACACTGGTTAACAATCAACTATGACCACCTGCCTCAACACTGGTTAACTATCAACTATGACCACCTGCCTCAACACTCATTAACTATCAACTATGACCACCTGCCTCAACACTGGTTAGCAATCAACTATGATGACTTACCTCAACACTGGTTAGCAATCAACTATGACCACCTGCCTCAACACTGGTTAACAATCAACTATGACCACCTGCCTCAACACTGGTTAACTATGAACTATGACCACCTGCCTCAACACTGGTTAGCAATCAACTATGACCACTTACCTCAACACTGGTTAGCAATCAACTATGACCACATGTCTCAACACTGGTTAACAATCAACTATGACCACCTGCCTCAACACTGGTTAACAATCAACTATGACCACCTGCCTCAACACTGGTTAACTATGAACTATGACCACCTGCCTCAACACTGGTTAGCAATCAACTATGACCACTTACCTCAACACTGGTTAGCAATCAACTATGACCACATGTCTCAACACTGGTTAACAATCAACTATGACCACCTGCCTCAACACTGGTTAACTATGAACTATGACCACCTGCCTCAACACTGGTTAGCAATCAACTATGACCACTTACCTCAACACTGGTTAGCAATCAACTATGACCACCTGCCTCAACACTGGTTAACAATCAACTATGACCACTTACCTCAACACTGGTTAGCAATCAACTATGGCCACCTACCTCAACACTGGTTAACAATCAACTATGACCACCTACCTCAACACTCGTTAACAATCAACTATGACCACCTACCTCAACACTCGTTAACAATCAACTATGACCACCTGCCTCAACACTGGTTAACAATCAACTATGACCACCTGCCTCAACACTGGTTAACAATCAACTATGACCATCTGCCTCAACACTGGTTAAAAATCAACTATGACCACCTACCTCAACACTGGTTAACAATCAACTATGACCACCTGCCTCAACGCTGGTTAACAATCAACTATGACCACTTACCTCAACACTGGTTAACAATCAACTATGACCACCTGCCTCAACACTGGTTAACAATGAACTATGACCACTTACCTCAACACTGGTTAACAATCAACTATGACCACCTGCCTCAACACTGGTTAACAATCAACTATGACCACCTGCCTCAACACTGGTTAACAATCAACTATGACCACCTGCCTCAACACTGGTTAGCAATCAACTATGACCACCTGCCTCAACACTGGTGAGCAATCAACTATGACCACCTACCTCAACACTGGTTAACAATCAACTATGACCACTTACCTCAACACTGGTTAGCAATCAGCTATGACCACCTGCCTCAACACTGGTTAACAATGAACTATGACCACTTACCTCAACACTGGTTAACAATCAACTATGACCACCTGCCTCAACACTGGTTAACAATCAACTATGACCACCTGCCTCAACACTGGTTAACAATCAACTATGACCACCTGCCTCAACACTGGTTAACAATCAACTATGACCACCTGCCTCAACACTGGTTAACAATCAACTATGGCCACTTACCTCAATACTGGTTAACAATCAACTATGACCACTTACCTCAACACTGGTTAACAATCAACTATGGCCACTTACCTCAACGCTGGTTAGCAATCAACTATGGCCACCTGCCTCAACACTGGTTAACAATCAACTATGACCACCTGCCTCAACACTGGTTAACAATCAACTATGACCACTTACCTCAACACTGGTTAGCAATCAACTATCACCACCTGCCTCAACGCTGGTTAGCAATCAACTATGACCACCTGCCTCAACACTGGTTAGCAATCAGCTATGACCACCTGCCTCAACACTGGTTAACAATCAACTATGACCACTTACCTCAACACTGGTTAACAATCAACTATGACCACCTGCCTCAACACTGGTTAGCAATCAACTATGACCACCTGCCTCAACACTGGTTAACAATCAACTATGACCACCTGCCTCAACACTGGTTAACAATCAACTATGACCACTTACCTCAACACTGGGTAACAATCAACTATGACCACCTGCCTCAACACTGGTTAACAATCAACTATGACCACCTGCCTCAACACTGGTTAACAATCAACTATGACCACCTGCCTCAACACTGGTTAACAATCAACTATGACCACCTGCCTCAACACTGGTGAGCAATCAACTATGGAAACCTACCTCAATGCTGGTTAGCAATCTTGCATCTTTTACAAATAAGCTCGCCCATGTCATGCAGTCTTCCCTTTATTTAAACTTCCAACAATCTCTCTTTCATCCCCACTCTGAGCATTAGCTAATGCTTTTCTCCTACTGAAATGATTGAAATCAGGAATCTGGAATTCTCTTTGTGTTCTTGTGTTGAGAGGGGTTGTACTCCCTTTTCTGCACCTTACCTGTCTTTTCTTTTTCTTTTAATGAAAGAATTTATGTTTTTCCTGTTAAAATAGCAAAACTGTGTATGCTGGAATTGAACAATTAAGTAAATGGATGGCAGATGCTAGCAGCTAGTTGTCTCATGGTAGGAGCAGAAGTACATAGGTGAGGGGGAGGAGGCTAGAATAATTCCTGTGGCACTGAATCAGAGTCAGAGATATCAGAATCAACTCATGTTTAGTTTAATTTATACACAGATAGTTACATACAGAAACATTTATAACTATGCACATATACACAGGATAGCATACACATGTCTATGTCAGCTGAGAAGACCTAGAAGCAATGACATCCCAGTAGAAAGGAATGCATCTAACACCCAGGTCTTCATTTGTGGTCATATTCTGCAATAAAAGAAACCAGGCTCCTTATAGAAATGGATGACTAAGACTAAGACTTAGTAGGACTAAGACTTAGTAGGACTAAGACAAGAAATAAAAAAAGAGCCTGGAACATCTTGTTGTGCCAGCAAGTAATAAAATATTACATGAGAGTGCATACACACAGTCACATAACCACACTCACATTCACACACACCCTCTCACACACTCACACACCCACATTCACACACATCCACCTACACTCTCACACACCCACATTCACTCACACACACACATTCACACACGCACACCCACATTCACACACACACGTATACATAGATATAACTACATTCACACACACATATACCTACATTCACACACAATAACATACACACACACTCACATACCCACACTCGCACACACACATACACACACCCACATTCATACACACTCACATACACACACACTCATACCCACACTTACACTCACATAACCATACTTACACACACACACACACACACAGTGATGCAGGGAAGTGAGAGGGACACAGCTGCGAAATGAAAGAGGTCTCAACGACTGCGCTCTGCAGCAACAAAATAACATGCCGGATTACATTACAGAACAGAAAATAAATGCCCACGAGTCTATAGTGATATAAATAAATGAATAAATAAATACATGGGACACAAAAGTCAAATCTCCCATGCAAAAATTTTTCACATAATTTCTGTAGATGCTCAGCCTTCGATGAGGAGGAACGTACCTTCTTACTCTGAAATGTGAGCTGCCCATAGTGACTTTCTTCCTAGAATGCAGCGTGGAAGGGGGGCCTTTGCATACAGTGGAGAAACCGCCCGGCCAGCGCTCCTCTGGCCGGCGATCAGGGCACATGCACAGCGGTCAGTGGGGTCGGCACGTACCCTTGACTCGGTGTGATGAGCGGCATTTTACCACTGTGCCCTTAGTCCTCTAAACGCATAAACTCATCTCATCATGAGAAAAACATCAGGACCCTTCTGATAAAGGAAGGTTCTACCGAATTAGCACTCCTGAAAATAGTCAAGGTCAGCAAGAACTAGGAAAGCCCAAGAAAACAGCACAGCCAAGAGGAATCTAGGGATCCCCGACAGCTAGTATGATGTGGTCTCCTGGATGAGATGCTGGAGGAGGAAAGGATGCCTGGGGAAAATGAGGGGGTCAGGGCACAGTGGCTCAGGCCTGTAGTCCCAGCACGTCGGGAGGCTGAGGTGGGAGGATCGCTTGAGGACATGAATTCAAGGCTATGGTGAGCTATGATGGCACCACTGCTCTCCAACCCGAGCAACAGAGCAAGATCCTTCTTTAAAAAAATCAAGAACCAAAAAACTTAATCTTGTTTTGAACCAGAAAGACTCTGGGAACAGAATGACAAATAAGTCATCAAGAACAAATTTACACTGCACAGAAGCAGCTGATCTGAGGCAGGGTGTAACTTCGTAGTGGTGGTGCCCCTGGCACTCACATCTCTCCATGATTTTCTTGCATAAATTGTCTGGCCCATGTCCTTGTCCTCCTGGTGCTCAGGACTTGGCCCTGGCCAAGCTTGCCGCTTGCTTTGCATCAGCATCCAATGAAAGGCTACCCTGCAGGCTGGATCGCCTGACCCGGCTTGCCCTGGCCTTCACCGGAACACCTGTGTGTCGACCTGACTCCTGAGTTGATAATTCAGCTCACCTATCACTCCACTGCAAATTCAACTTGACTCGCTGCCTACATGCCAGGATGCTGAACCACCTGCATCAAACCCCTACTTTGGGTTTGCCAGGCTCTCGGGAGCCATCCCTTGTTCTATCACAGACAGCCCAAAGCCTGGTACTTCCTTGGTAGGAGGGAAGGACAATTCAGCACTTCTCCCTGACTTTCAGTGCATATTATTAAACTCTCAACCAAAACAATGGAGGAAAGGCCCTCTTTATTCAATACCTCCAGAAAATGAGCCTCCCTCTCCCATCCAGCTCCCTCATTTTGTCACAAAGACACCAGGTAAGAAGGTGCTGAGGACAACACAAATACATCCCCTGTGTGGAAAACCAAGATGAAAACACACAACCTACTGAGGGAACATCCCCGGGGCTCACGGCCTCCCTCTGAGTACTGGGGATAGGAAAGAGGCAGGTAAGAAGGAAATATTTAGCTTCGCTGTGCCTGTTCAGTGAAAAGAGTCATTGCTACTTTGCTCAGGAGGGTTTTCACAAACTCCCCCAGCCTACGTGAGATAAGGGTTAGGTGTGAACCTGTCTGCTATAGATAAGGGGGTTAGAATGACAGGCACCCCCTGATAACGCAGGCTGGCTATGACCCACAGCCCAGCCCCTGCCCGCTAAGTCGGAGGTTGGAGATGCTCCAGGGGCCAGGAAATAGTTAAATCTCCCCATCATCCCACCCATTCACCTTGCTATAATCTCAAAAGCAGTCAGAGAAATTCAGGGGACATAAAAGGAAAGGAAGCCAGCACCTGCAGAAATGGATGGACTAAAATCACAGCCATCCCGAGGTGAGGTTTCCAATCCCTCTTACTCCAACACCAAGGACACACACCTGGAGAGGGTGGTGACAGGTGAGGTTTCACAGTATGGCCTCTGTTTCTCTTCATTCTACTCCCTACCTTGCCTCCTGCTCAAGTTCTTCCTAAATGACCTGCACACTTGTAATAAGCCATTTTTGCATTGCTATAAAGAAATACCTGAGACTGGGTAATTGATGAAGAAAAGAGGTTTAACTGGCTCAAGGTACGCAGGCTGTACAGGAAGTATGGCTAGCATCTGCTCCACCTCTGGTGAGGCCTCAGGGAGCTTTCAATCATGATGGAAGGCCAAGCGACAGCAGGCAGATTGTATTAGAAGCAGGCGTGTCACATGGTGAGAGCAGGAGGAAGAGGAAGAGAAAGAGGCAGAGGCAGTGCCACACACTTTTAAACAACCAGATTTCATGTGAACTCAAAGCCTGAGCTCACTCATCAGCAAGGGATGGCCCAAGTCATTCACAAGGGATCTGCCCACGTAATACACACACCTCCCACCAGGCCCAACCTCCAGCACCTGGAAACACTGTTCAACATG
The DNA here is from genome assembly GCF_000001405.40 of Homo sapiens. NCBI lineage: Eukaryota > Metazoa > Chordata > Mammalia > Primates > Hominidae > Homo > Homo sapiens. The sequence continues at coordinate 149,200 of NT_187581.1, read as the reverse complement.
AGATTGGGGTGGGACATCCAAGCCATGTCAATGTCCTACAGGATGGAAGCCAGACTTGCCACATAGGAAGGGAGATGCTAACTTTGTGAACCTGCTGTTTTGCTTTTGTCACTATATTCTGTAAAAATAACACGGAGTCACAATATTTGCCCCACATAAAGGTTTATAACCTGAAGGATTGAGAACTTTTTTCCACCTGCTTTGAATACAGTTCACATTTGTGGATGAAGGTATTGACAGGGATGTAGCCCTTTGAAACTTACTAGGACCTATTCTCCAAAGAGTCAGAGAGGTTTTATTTTTTCAGAGTGTTCAGAGATTAGAAGTCTGGAAAACTTGTGTCAACCCTCATCTCATCAGGAAAACTCCAGTGTTGAAGGCAAAGGAATAAATTCAAATCCAGCAAGTAATTTTGTATCTGTCATTTCAAAAGGTTAAGGGTTGTGAAGAGCAGAGCTAGTGACCTCCTGCAGACCCTGGCCACACTGGTGCCACTCCCTGCAGCTCCGCACAACCTCTCCCCACTCCCTTCTTCCTCCCCCAGCACCTGCCAATCACCTGCCATTGCTGAGAAGCAATTGATTCCCGTGAAGGGTTGATAGTCTAGTTGAACCAGTTGGAGTGCTGACTTATGGGACAGATCAGTCTTTTGTTCTGAGCCTAGTTAGTGAGCCCAGCTAAGGACTTGGCTGGGCTTTCAAAGCTGTGGGGAAGGAGAAAGAGAGGAGGTGTCCAACCCAAACTCAGCTCTCAGGAACATGCCAGAGGCAAGGATGTGGCACCATGAGGAGAGGCTCCTAGGAGTTACACGGAAGACTTCACATAACACTTCTCCCTTTCCTGCTGATGACTGCACAGGGTTTTCAGAATGATTTTCCAGAGCTGGACAGACACTTTCCCTGCCCTGAGAACTTGGATCCTCAGAGGGGAAACCAGTGGGTGGCTAAGTTTAGATTTTTAGCATGACCTCACCCCTTCTGAGCCTTGGTTTCTTCATTAGTGAAACGGTAATAATGATATGTGTTTACCTGCCTCTCAAGCTTGCTGTGAAGATGAAGTAAAAAATAATGCGTAGGGGAGTTTTCTGAAAGCTCCTTAAATTCTTAATTTGTGCACAGGAATTATTACAGAAAAGAAAGAGTATACACATTAATTCCTGTAGAATTTTTAGCTTTGTCGTTATGTTTTATTTGTTTTGGCAATGTGGGGGTTGGATGAGTTGGTGCAGAGAAAGCCACCAGCAAAAGGAACCAGAACAGTGGTGAGCCAGAAACCCTAATTGCTCCAGAGAGATTTTAGCTTTCAGTGCAGCCCCAGTGCCATCTGCCCCTTCCTACTCCTAGGACAGGCCCCAAAGAAACCCACGGAGGGCAGAGCGATGACAAAGTGGGAGGAGAAGAGCAGGGACAGTAGGAGCAGGAAAAGGAGGAAAGAAGAATCTTCTTCCCACGCCTTAAGCCTCACATCAAAGGTTTTCAAACTGTGGTCTCTGTACCATGGAAGGATTCATGAGACCCACTTGTTTTCTTAATTCTGTGCTGACATTTCCACTCATGATGCAAAAATGAAGACACAACTGCTGAGGCCTCAGCACCAATCAAGGCAGAGGCTCCATACTCTGTCATCATCTTAGGGCCATGCATGCACAGCAAGTGTGGGCAATTCCACTTAAAAATTGCCTTGATGAAGCAGTAAAACTTATTGATTTTATTCCTTGAGTGCATAACTTTGTGACATCCCATGAGGCCAAACGGGAAGTTCCCCTCTGAGGCTGCTGAAGCGCATTGACTGTCTCAAGGAGAGCCGTGCCTGCAAGTGTCTGCGTTGCAAGCTGACATAGACTTTATTTTTTTCATGGAATGGATATTTTCTCAAAAAATAACACAACTTCAAGGAAAACAACTCATGTGTGAGTTGCCAATGAGAAATCTGAAATTTCAAGTGAAAATTAACGATTTGGAAAACTTGGATTTACAACCAGAGTTTGACAGGTTTTTCCACAGTTAAAGATGGAAAGCTTTTCTTCTTCATTTGTAACTCCTACTTATCCTTCCAGACTCCACTCCTTTTGTGTTCTCTCAGACCCTTTCCCCAATCTCCCTCTTTCTTTCTAGTGTAGTAGTGTGTGTGTTTGTTTGCACACGTGCATGTCCACATTTGTGTCTACGTCTTTATTACCTATATCCATGACTATGTCCGTGTCTACATCCATCTATCTCTACCTAAGGTCTATCTTCTTATCCTTATTTAAATGTTCATTCTACTGAGAGGGCTCTTTTAGTTTACTCTTCAATATGACATTGACTTAGAAAAGAAACACAAAAGCTTTCTAATTCCTCATGCAAGTCTATTAAATATTTTCTTGTTCATAACAATAGTTCAAGAATGTTAGTTTCAAACTATTTCTCAGTCAATAGTTCCTATTTTACCCTGGAAGCTTAGGGCCAGATGATAGCTTTCGAGTTTCTTTGAACTCCTTTTATGAAATACACGAAAATGAGAAGAAATACACCACTGAGCATTTCGTATCTTCTGAATACCTAATAAGAACCATTGGTTATTCCATCTGCGGCCACCGTCTATTAACTTGCTTTTACTGTCAGTGACCCTTCTGAAATGAACCACCAGGTTTGACTTTCTGAAATACTCTTTTTGTTATATTATCTCCATAATACCAAAATTCCTGTGATTTTTTTATGGTCTAGACTAGAAAATAACAATTGCTTCTGGTAATAATAGATGAACTTTAGGAGAACAAGCCATCTGTTAAGAATGGCTAGAAAAACTTTTTAAAATAAAGAAGGGAGAGGAGAAAAAAAAATATTCGAAAGCATCAGAGAATAATTGAGGGAAAAAGATCCCTGGTTGGGGGTGGAGGGAAAAACAGGGTTCAGAGACAACATTTAATATTGATTTTCCCCAACATTGCCATTTCCAAAATTGGGGCTGGGTTTCTGAAAAACTGATCAGAAGTGTGACCAATGGGAAGTCTGGAAGACACAGGGAGCTTCTGTAGGTCTGAAGGAGATAGGAATATAAAATGAGGGCTCACAGTTTACCAGAATGGAATGGTCCATGAAATGCCCATACATTCCATTGGGCCCACAAAGGAACTTGCACTCAGAGTGAGGGGACTGGAAGAGAAGACCCTCAGGAAGCCCGAGGTTCTGCTTCACAGGCTTGGTTTCTGATTACAGTAGGGCTTTCCCCTTTAATCACAGTAATTTGCCAGAAGCCAATATTACTTCCCTCTCACAGATGAAAACATCACCCAGAGACTTAAATTATTTGTACGATTTTTCATACACATTTTTGCTAGTCAATCAATAATTACCAAGCATATCAGGAGACAAGATCACATGACAGAATAATAAGAGAGACAAACGCCAACATGGGAAAGAGATCCACTGGATAAATAGATGCTGGCAGGTATCAGATATGGGATTTAAAATAAATAACAAACATATTCAGGACATTACAAGATAGCCAGGTAGAGAATTTCATGTGAGAAGCTGAATTTATAAAAGAAATAGAAATTATACAACGGAAAACACAGAGGAGTCATTATTATTGAATTTAGATATATCCAGATTCAAACATAGAAGAAAAGACTGCAAATATAGAAACTAGCTTAGGAGATAATATTGGAACTAGTGAAGGTATATATATGTATATGTGTGTGCATAGCTTAGGAGATAATATGGGAACTAGGGAAGGTATATACACACATATGTATGTATATGTGTGAGCATGTGGAGACAGAAAGAAGAGAGAATGAGGTACAAATATTATATGAGGAGATATTCTCCGAAATTATCTTAAAAACCACTAAAAAATATTTATATGCAGGCTAGAGATGCATAAAGAACTCCAAGAAAGATTTTTTAAAAGATACCCAGTCACCTCAAACCTAAATTACTAAAAAGCAAATATAAAAAACATTATTTTTAAGTTTTTTAATATTTTTATTGATATAGTTTTACGTATTTTGGGGATACATATGGTTGTGATACACGTACAGAACATGTAATGACCACATCAGTGTAATCGGGATCTCCATCACCTCAGACACATTTTCTTCGTGTTGGAAACTTTCAATTTTTCTTTTCTAGTTATTTTGACAAATATAATTATTATACACAATATTTTAAATATATAATTATTATTTATTATACATTCAAAATAACTAGAAGAGAAAAATAGTAACGTTCCCAACACAAACAAAATATAAATGTCTGAGGTGATGGAGATCCCGATTATGCTGATGTGGTCATTACACATTCTGTACATGTATTATGTCTTATTTATTATATATTTCAAAATAACTAGAAGAGAAAAATTGTACTATATTTACTAAAAAATTGTATTATAGTTGCTGTAATTTTCCTATTGTACTTTCAAATACTAGAACTTAAGAGCAAACAAAGAAAAGCAATTTCCTCCCAAACAAGCAACAATAATACAATTAGCTAATGCTTCAGCAGAATAATACAAGCTAGAAGGCAGTGAATAACCACTTCAAAGTAGTAAAAGGAAGTTTCTGCCCAATGCTTCAGACGTGAAGGTGAAAGTAAACATTTTTACATACACATAAATGGAGATCATTTACTACTGAAAGATCTACAGTAAATAAAATACTAAGGGGATTTTTCAGCAGAGGGATTATATCTCCAGGTGGAAGCACAAAGATAAGGAATAATAAGTAATGAAAAGAATATATGTATATTAAATACAAATACATATTATATTAATAAATTTATATTTATTTGTATGTTTTCAAATATATATATTCATATGCTTTCAAATATACATGGATTTAATGTATAATGATAATAGTAAAAGTTTGAATGGGTCAAATGGATTTAATGTTTTCTGAGACCTCATCACCAAAGAAGTTGTGAAAGTTCTAATGTTTAACAATCTCTTATAACAGACACCCTGAGTTGAGGCTTTTCTTTACAGTGGTGATGCTAACGTTTAAGTTACTCTCTACCCGGCACCATGCTAAGTGCTTCAGTACAAGAATTAGAAAACAACATAAGTGCACAGGCAGAAATCAGTGAAATAGAAGCAAGTGTTTAGTAGAGACAGTCAATCAAGTCAAGAGTTGTTTCTTAAAACAAATTAATTGAATAATTAATTAAATAAACCCCTGGAGAGTCTGATTTTTTTGAAAAAGAAAAGAAAAAAGACAATTTCAGCTACCAAGATAACATGGAAGGCAACATCAGTACAGACCACACAGCTCATAAAATCTCTAATAACAGAACAACTTTATGTCAGTGAATTTGCATCATTAGATAAGACAGACAGATTCCCAGAAAAGCACAACTTTTTAAAGATTGTGCTTTAGAATGACATAGAATAATCAGACAAAGAGATCACTTGTAACAAGCATTAGAGAAATTAAATACTCGATTGAAAACCTTCACACACACAAATTCAGGCCAGAAAGGGTTTTCCAGTGAATCCTTTCAAACATTTAAGGAAGAAGGAACCCAGGACTTACACAAATGCTTCCATAACTAAACTAGGGGAAAAGGCAAATGCTGTCCTAAATACTGAAGCACAAATCACAGCCCTGCTCTTCCAGGCCTTAGAATGTAGGTGAAGCTATTGCAGGCACACAGACCTCACATATGTCTCAGTAAAAGGCAGTCTGTATTTTGTCCCAGAGCTATTGTTGTTGGCAGAATTCTGTGTGTTAGTGTAGGTTCAGCCACTGTCATCAGCAGACTTGAAACTGCAATGGCTCAAAACCACAGAGATCCATTTCCAGCTTCTTCAGCAGTGGGGAGCCAGCGTTGCCTGTAGTGAGATGTTCCCCTCCCAGGCCCCAGAGCTGCTCCTCGCTCAGCTGCATCAGCCACTGTAAACTTGAAGGAGAGGGGCCAGGTCTTCAGTTTGGGAGATGGGAGCCTCTTGAGCCCTTCTAGATCATCCCAGCACCTGTTGAGCAAGCCAGCACAGTTAAATAAATACATTTAACTTGTTCAGCACACAATGCTTTTCAGAGAAGGCTTCTGCTCCCCAGGGAATGCCTTCCCAAGTCTATTTGGAGACACTCCTTCCAATTTTCTTTAGGCCTCGACTTCCTCAAGAAAGGGAGCGGGCTTCCCTGTTGCAGTATCCTGATCTCTTACTAGCATGTGCCGAAGCTGTGTTCCACTGGCAGCAGGTGCGTGGGGCGGGGTGGCTGTGCCCTGGTGCGTGTCCATCCCTCTTCCCTTAGTGTGCCATATTAAAAGCCAGCACCACGGTGGAGCACACACAGACTTTAAGGTCTGTTTGCTCTTCATTCTGAACAGGAGAAAGTGACTTCACTTCCTCCTGACACCCACAGTGGCATCCATTCCAAATACTAGTGCAGACTTGCTTTTCATTTACTCAACCAGTCCATCATTTAAACAGCAAGTGTTCCCCAAGTCCCGACCCTGTGGAGGCTCTGTGCTGAGCATATAAAGATGAACAAGACAGCCCCTGCCCTTCACAGGCTCACAGGGAGGCAGAAGGGTAAACAATACAAGGACTTAACTGATGTACCAGCAGAAGAAACCAGGAGCAGAAACCTCAGAGAAAAGAGTGCACAGCCCCTCAGGAGGAGGGCAGGGTGGGGAGGAGGTTTCATGGCCCAGGAGGGAGACTAAACCCAGCTGGGAAGGTTGAGTGGTGGGACGAGAGCTTGCCAAAGGCAGAACGTGAAAAAAGAAAGGACGCTGATGCTGGAGAAAAGCATTTTTTCCTTCTGCAAACATTTCCTGAGCATTCACTAAGGATCTTAAGCTTTGCGGGGCACTGGGTTGGAGTCTCGGCAAGACACAGCCTGAATTTAGGAGGCCCTAGCCCCTGGGGAGAAGGACCCTGAACCATCCCTGTGGCTATGAGGAGTGTTAGGGAGAAGGAAATACAAAGTGCAGAGAATGAGAGGCCAGGCTAGAGGTGCCATCTGGGAGGAGAAGCTGGTCAGATGGATTAGAGAACAAAGGAATTCAGAGAGCACAAAGTGAAGGCACGGAAGAGAGCAGTGTGGCATGTGGAGAAGGGCAGCAGTTCAGCCTGACAAACGGGGAGCGAGGTGGGAGGGTGGGCGAGGCCAGAATTGGGGGGTTTCTTATGAAGGGCACCAGAAAGTAAGAGAAGGTGCTTCAGGAAGGACAGAACCTGCCCTGATTCACACTCTCACTTAAAACAACAGCTCATGGCTATTGAGCTTTCACTCTGTGCCAGGTTTAAGGCCACATGCTTTCTGTCTGCAGTGTAGACAGTATGCTGGGCCAGGCCAGAGTCAGATACACAAGAGGCTGCTCCTGGAGGGAAGGGGCTCTGTGCCATGAGCCAGCAGGGAAGTGGCTGGCAGCGGAGCTCACCTCCAGCTGTGAGTCACTGGCCCCGTTTTCCACAGTGTAATTTATCATCCTTCCCCTTACAAGCCCAGAAAACTTTATTCCCATGCGAGGTCTTTATCTTGCTTTAACGCCATGGATGAAAACCAAGGGCGTCACAGGGGCTGGGTTGGCTTTCATCATCGTCCTTTATAGATGTCTGGCCCACTCTCTCTCAGCCGTGGCTTGGGCCGGTTAGGAGCACCCCTGAGCCTTAGTTTCTTTCTCTATAAAACAGGAAGAATGATACTGGTTTAGAGCATTGTTTTTCACATTAAATAAAATCTCAGTGATGTCCTGGCCCATGGTTTGGCACGTGGCACAAACGTAAGCACAGTTTTCCCTTCGTCTTTTCCACAGGATTATGAAAGAGAGGCTGCTCTGGACATCCTCTTCTTCCTTGCTGTGCCCAGTATGGTCCTTGGCCTGCAGAAGACTAACCCATGTTTGGTTCACTACACTCAGAGGTGGGGACTTGACCCCAGCAGAAGAGAGGCCCAGCCATCCAGACTAGAAAAGATCAGTCCTGACCTTCCAGCACCAGCCAGAGGACACAATGGTCACTGCCGCAGACCAGATTGGAGCTGAAATAGGCAAAAGCATCCTGCAGTGGGGTGGGGCTGTCAGGCTAGCATGGTCAGGGTGCACCTGCTTAGATAAAGGACAACAGCCGATACTTGCTCGGCACCCACGACTGCCTGGCAGGGCACGCAAGGCCCTCACCTGACTCACCCAGAGCCCTTCCTTTACAGCAGCAAGCACACACGCTGTGACACTCACTGATCGTGCCCTCCTGGTCTTTTAATATTGATGCAGTCATATATGACACTGTCTCCACGCAGAGTGCCCTTCTCTCTTGACTGCCTTGCAAGCCATCATTTGCTCCCATCTCAGCTCCAAGGTGACTTTCTCCAGGATGCCCTCTCTCCTCCACTGTCCTCCTCCTTCATGCCCTCACCAGTTCCTCAACATTCTTCTCCTGACACCAACCACCCTGACCGCCTCATGCGGCACCCCAAGTACCCTAGGGAGGGATCCAGGATCACGAGGACAGCTCATTCGCTTGCCCTCCGGCCACCCAGGACAGGGAATGTCCGAGGATGTGCTTGGGGCATTGCTTTGGGAGGAGACGCAGGCCTGTTGCAGGGTGTGCAGGCTTCATGCTCTTGTTTGTGCTGGCTACGACTATTTGCTGTCATTGTCATCATCATCATCATTGTCATCGTTGTCATCTCCATTTCAAAGATTAGACACAAGGCTCAGGGAGAATAAATGACAGGATTAAAACCACACTGCCGTCAAACGTTAGAACATTTATTCAAATCTAAGCCCCTAAGTTTCTAGTCTAAAGCTATCTAGAAATTTTGCCTCAGTCTGTCCTTCTTGTATCCCTCTCCTCTCTAATCAGGACCCCATGTCTGGCCACAACAACAAACTCCCTGGAATCCCTGACAATGGGAAGGAAACTGTTTCCATCATTGAAGCAAAGCTCCGCATACCCCAGGCTGTGATGATGCCAGCGCGTAGCCCATATCTCTGTACCCACAGAGTCGCCTGCTGTTTATCCCTCTGCTGCCACTGCACCAGCCCTCAGGACTGTGGGATCAGCTTTCTCTCTCTGGATCATCCAGGTGTGAGCAGACACCCCTGTCTTCATTTTCCTTCAGCACAGCTAAGATGGAAACTTTCAAAAAGATCTTTCCTCAATACGAACTCAGCGCGCAGGATGAAATGCACCCAGCACCTCTCAGAGCCAGGTCGCAGCCGCAGCATCACTGTCACGTGGGAGATTGTTGGGTGTCCACATCCCCACGCTGCCCCAGACTCACCAAATCCGAAAACCGAGAGTGGGTCTCAGGGCTCCATTTCGTGGCGGTCTAGTTTAAGATCGGCCAGCTAAAGGAAACAGGAAGGGCTCACGGATGAATTAGTTCCAAGCCTGTGGGGCCACGATCGCTCACTGCTCTCCCTGAGCGAGCCTGGGCTGCCACGCCTTTCTGAGGGCCCCGTCCAGGGACATTGCTGGTGACCCCTCAGCTCTCCTCCTTCTCTGTCTCATCTCTGCCCTCGCCTATCCATGAGGAGGGAGGGGAGGGTGTGATCTAAGCCCACAGTCCTTCCGAGGTGGACTACGAGCTGGAACTGGAGCCAGGAACACATCCCTAGCAGATCAATGAGACCGTCTCATCTCCCCAGTCTCCTCAGCATGGAAAAAGCACTCACGACACTGAACCACCTTGTTTCCCCCAGCAGAGGTGGGCTTGAGGGTCAGTTCCTCACTTCACCTTACATGCACAGCCTTGGTGCATTTGCTCTTGGGATTCTGACATCAAAGATGCCCCCTCCATTTGTTTAAGTCCTAACCCTGCTTCCCTTCCTGTCACAAGTCTCACCTCCTCTGGGAAGACTTCCTGCATCACCTCATATTAGTTCGTGTCTCCTCATGATTGGCATTTAGTGATAGCGCTCAGCATTTGGCATCTGCTACCTCCTGTGGCTGATAATTCTTATGTTCACAAGTTCTGTCTCCTTCAACCGGAAGAAGAATCATGGCATATAGCTGTGTGCATCTTTAAAAAAATCTAGCACAGTGTTTCTTAGCTCTGAATGCAAATTAGATTTCACAAAGAGTGCTTTAAAGACTATTAACACCTGTGTCTTAGCCAAAGCCGTTCTGGGTCAATCGGCCTCGGGTGAGGCATAGGTTCCCCAGTGATTTGGAGGTACAGGCAGGGTAAAAAGATGCTGGCTGGCTTCTTCGGCACATTGTAGAACACTGGCAGACACTCTCAGCAGCTGTTTCTAAGGATAAAGTCAAAACGACCTAACATCAAACCGAAGTCAGCTCTGCAACAGACTGCTCAGCGTAGCAGTGCCTTTGATAACTAATCTCCATGCAGTGAGGGACCTAGTGGTCCCAGATTCAAGAGTCACCCATTGGGCTAATAGTTAAGGTCCTTGGCTGGGGAAGAAAAATTTTCTGCAGTGGAAAGACCAATGCCTGGATGGTTTAGCTCTCCCAATACCCTGGGAAAGAGAGTGGAAAGAAAGGCTTCTGCCTTTCCCTGTCCTGGGTTGCTGACCTTGGTGGTTTCAGCCTGCCCACTGGCCTTGTGTAGAGTGACCACCAGCAGCAAGGAAAGGGACGCTGTGGTGAATCATCTGAAAGTGACCTGATACCTGACATCCTGGCACCTGTGCTAAAAAAGATCCCAATTTTATGAGGGTCTTCTTCTCTCTGATGTTCTAATTCCTTATGGTTATATGCATAAAGCTAATAAAAACATATTTACGCCTTGAAGAAGACATTGCAGATGAATCCCACGGCTGAGATGCCTTTGCCTTCCTGTCTCTGACATAGCATTACTCAATTTAGAGACCATGTAAGCCACCAACTCAGTCACCCACTCTGGGCTTTTATAGCTACATAAATTATTTCTCCTTATGCTTAATTCAAAACTTGGCCTGACAATTCTCTACAGTGATTCCCAGATAAGCAACTCAGACACCTCTTCCAGCACAAATATCACCACCCCCTCACAGACTCCCGTTTGCCTCTTCGTCCTTTCCTTCACTGGGAATCCTGCTCTGAGCTGGTCTCTGCTTCCCCTGGTCCACTGACTCTATCTTGGCATCGATGCCAGAGCAGTCTTCCTGGGGCAGATCTCTGATATGGCCACATCCTATCCAGACCTTTGTGTACTTACCCATTGCCTCGACAATAAATCCTGTCATTCAAACACCACATGATGTAATCCAGGTCAATTTGCAGTGTAGGGTGGGGCCAAGGGTGCAGGCTCTGGCACGAGACTGTGCAGGCTTTAATCTCAGATCTACCAAACCTGCAACTCACCAGCGACGCATCCTTGTGCATGACACCATCCATACCTTAGTTTCTCCATCTGTTTAGGGAAATAATTACGAGTTCTAAGGATTAAGTGGGGTGAGTAGCACCTAGTCTGTAATAAGCACAAAATAAACATTCTGTAATATTATTACTTCCCCAGAGCAACTTTCCACTCCTAAATTTGCCTGCCCCTAATTCTGGCCTGCCATCCACAGGCTTCTCCCATAGCCAGCCTGTTACTGGTTCGACCCTTGCTCTTTCCTCAACCAAAATGCCTTCAAACCACATCAAACTCAGAGGAGAAAAATTAGTTTCATTCGGAGGAGCAGAAGCATATGTAGTTATTCACCAGGCCAGGCCTAAAAGCCCTCATCATCAAGGTCTATATCATAAGCAGCACCTCTTATCTCCCATCTCAGGGATTAAACTGTAATCATATCTGCAAAGTCCGTTTGTCACAAGGCAACACATTCATAGATTCTAGGGATTTGGGACAGGGAATGTCCTTTGAGGAAGCATTATGCTGCTGACCATACTCACATAAAAACATAGGCAATATTAATATTTTATGTAGTGCTTCTTATATATTAGATATTCTTTTAAATGTCTTTTGTATATAATTTAATTATCTCAATAGCTCTAATGAAGTGGGCACTATTGTTACAATCCTTCTCATTATTTAGGAAACCAAGGCGCAGGTGGGTTAAGTAATTTGCCCAGAGAACCAGAATGAGTTAGTAAAGTCAGAATATGAGCTGGGTACTGTGGCTCCGGAGTCACGTTCTTAACCACTATGTTAAATTAGCTGTTAAATAATTAATATCAGCTGAGTTGAGACTTCACAGCAAAATTATTTTTAGGGGATTTGAAATTCACAGGAGTTTCCTACCATCTTTGGATAACCCCCACCCAGTGTTCACATGCATATTTATAACTTCTGTATGCATAGAAATACATGGTCATGTCCCAGTTTATTCCAGGTTCCTGAGTTATGTTTGCATTACCTCTGAGAGTCTTATTGATTTCTATAATTGAGGACTTCTCATTAATGTGATTTATTGAGGATTTATTGTTCTTACTGTCAACCAAAAGCAATGCTTTACGTATTTTATGTGCTATTGATTGGAAGGGCCAGAAGCCCAAAGATCCAAGACTTCCTTTATCCCTTTAACATAGCCAATTAAGATAAATGTTCTATGCCCCAAATATTTTCATGTGGCCTTGGTGCTGAAGTTGTCATCTGGGGTGTGCAGGATTCATTGCGGTGGAATCTACATGAGGGTTCATGTCAGCCTTTACTTGCTTCACAGACAACATGAAAAATGTTTAGCTTTATCCTCAAACTAATGAGAAGCCATTGAATAATGTTTAATAACGTGGTCAGCGTCACCATAGTTAAGTATTGAGCAGGTCACTTTTGGTGCAGGTGGGGATGCTGGACACCAGGCCATATAGATGGCCATTTCAGCATCTCAGGCAGAAAATGATTATAGCTTGGACTAAAATTATGGTTGCGGTATAGAGAAATGGGTATGTTTAATAAACGTTTAGTTCGTAGATGACTTGGTAAGGAATTGAATGTGCGGCTAAAGGAGAAGAGGTCAAGGGTGACTGCCATGCTTCATGTCTTGCCATTGGGTGCTCAGCATTATGGGCACAGAAGAGGATAAGCAGGCTGGGGAGTGGTCAGTGAGGGGTCACTGATCTAGCTTTTGACATGACCAGTATGATGTGCTTTGGAAACATCCAAGGAGAGAAATCAGAAAGGCACTTGAATATGTAGGTCTGGAGCTCAGAAGACAAGTAGGTGCTGAAGATATATGTATGTCGTTCACACTTACTATACTAGCATATAATGACTTGAATGACTCTCCATAGAAGAGTCTGGACAAAGGAGAAAAAGAGGACTACAACCCAGCCTTGAAGAACCTCAGCTGTACAGGTTTAAGTAGAAGAGGATGAGCTTGCAAAGTCAGAATGGCTGTGTCTTCAGTTGGTGAATTACTTAATGTTCCGGTTCCTCCAATTCACCCAACATCAGTACCCATAGGGACTGAGCCTCAGTGATTACAAAGGGTAAACAAAAAGGGATGATAAGCCAAGGAATCCCAGTTGGGGTGGCCTGACATTAAAAGGCAACTATTCTCATTAGATTTGCTTCCAAAAATCACTGCATTGTCATAATCAATATGTTTTGCTTTGCCTATCCAAGAAAATACATATCTTCTCCCCCAAGCTACTGGAAGGCCCTTGAAAACGCTTGCTTTTAAAAAAAACTTCATTATTATTTTTTAACTTGAGTCATAAGAGAACTGGTCTCAGTCCCTCACTGGTGATGAAGTTTGCACTGTGTACCACACCACTTGCGGTACACATGTGGGGCCCACGTGGAATTCAGCCATGTAGAAGTTCTCTGAGAGAGAGAAGTTCTCTGCAGGAAACACAAATGAAAGATGGGGATGTTCCTGGTGGCCTGCAGTGTCCTATACAAAGTCATTTATGAGACATAGCTGCACCCCAGCCCTGATTATAATTGCTTTCTTAAGACAATACATGACAGTTTTTGCAAAGGTATTATCTCATTTTGGGTTCAGGCGCTCAACCTGCAACTAGGTCCTCATGCTCTGAGGCTGACAGAGTGGCTGCATCTGCCTATGCTTGGGAAGTGTCGGGGGAGGAATGTGCACGGCACTGCTGGGCTGGGGGTGCTCTCTGGAAGTAAAGTCTTCTGCACCAAGGGAGGGTGGCAGGGATTCAGCTCACAGAGGGGGCGGATGTATGGTTAGCTCATGAATGATGTGTTATAGTTTGGTAATTGCCCTCTGGGATCTGGAGGTGCTATTATCTCCTGCAAGGTAATGAAGCTGTGGGATGACACCAATTTTCTTAATCTGCTGAATTCTACTGATTCAATTTTAGTCACTCAAGTGGAGGGGGAGTGGGAGAATGAGCTCTCCTGCACTGCGGAAGAGCCTTATGTATGGCCAAGGGCTTCTCCTTAACTGCAGAGATCCCTGAGGATCCACCTACTGCATTCCGCGACGCAGAGTGTGAGCAAATGTGGGCAGGGGTGAGGTGGAGGAGCCTACAGATGCAGCATAACCCAGAACAATATTTCTTAGTGAAAGACATGTTTCCTCTTGGTTATCAAAGTGACTGAAATATGGTTTACATGATTGGCTGTTCAGATAATCAGGTTCTTTACGCATAGCAATGGTAAAAAACTTTTGTGTATTAGCACAAATTACATTCCAGAAGGGTTGTTGATAGTGGCCCTATGTTGTCCTTTTTCTCCACAATGAGTTTGAAATGTGCGCACCATCAACAACACTTTATAGGAGAAGAAACTGAGGCTCAGAGAGATTGGGTGATTTAATAAAATTGATCCCATTGGTAAGAGACACAGCTTGGGCTCAAACATGGTTTTTCTAATTACAAATTGAGGGATAACAGACCTTGGAATTTTTTCCCATATTTGGGTCTCTGCAGTTATAACCAAGGTTGTTATTTTATGGGGACGAATGGCTTGGTGGGATGCAGCAGAGGGGATCTCCTTCCTGGTAGCTCCACTCTTCCCCTCCTCTTCTTCCGGAGCCATGCACTTCTGTCCTTCCCAGCCCAGGGGCATGGGGTCAAGCCAGAGCAGTGGGATGGCCCTGATGACCTCCACAGTCCCTGCCTTCAACCTGAGATCCTCTATTCACTTAGGGGCTGGTCCCCATCCCCCTGCATTACCAGGCTGCAGTTCCCCCCAGAGAAGCCCAGAGACAGTGAGAGCAAGCTCCGGGGAGAAGCGTGCCTCCTGAAGGAGGTGAGTTCATGCCTCCTTAATGTCCATGGGCCGCGTTGCCTGTACACTGGTGCTTAGTGCTGAGTCCCAGTTTCTCTGTGGATCTAGACCTGCTGCTGTGCTCACCTGTTCAGGGCACTTCACTTCACCTCATTTTCCCTCCAGACTCCTTCCTAGAGCCCTTGTCCTTCCCCAGGACCTGGCTCTGGGAGCAATGCTAGGGGCACCCAGCACCTCCCTGCAAGGCTGAAGGTAGGCTAAGAGCGGAACTACAGGGAGCTCCTGTACAGCAAAGGGCATCCTTGCTCATAAGGTGCACTGTTTGTTTGTTTGTTTGTTTGTTTGTTTGTTTGTTTGTTTGTTTTAGATGGAGTCTTGCTCTGTTGCCAGGCTGGAGTGCAGTGGCGCTATCTCAGCTCACCACAACCTCCGCCTCCCAGATTCAGGCAACTCTTCTGCCTCAGCCTGCGAGTAGCTGGGACTTTAGGCACACACCACCATACCCGGCTAATTTTTTTGTATTTTAGTAGAGACGAGGTTTTACCATGTTGCCCAGGCTGGTCGTGAACTCCTGAGCTCAGGCAATCCCCCCACCTCGGCCTCCCAAAGTGCTGGGATTACAGGCATAAGCCGCTGCTCCCGGCCATTCAGGTGCACTTCTGAGCCAGCATGCAGAGGCTTAGAGCCTGCCAGCACTCAAGGAGGGCATGCCCACCTCAACAGGTGCTCCTGGGCCATTGAAGGATGTAGCCTCAGTTCACCTTCAGGAAGAGGCTGCGTTCCGGCCCCTGGATGATCTCTATGCCAGAGACAAAGTTGGAGAAGGAGCCTCGGGGTTCACTACTGACATGTCAGCCTGGCCACCACGAGGAAGCCTGGGGATGGGTGGGAGGAGTTCCACCTGTCTCCGCCTGGTCATCTACCTCAGCTGTGGAGCTTCTCAGATGAGCAAAATGTGGGCAGCAGGGAAGGGGCATCGTCCAGCCCCTGCATCCCCCCGATCCCCGGCCGTGAGCACACTCACGTGCTGGCTGCTTTCCCGCTCTCCGCACTCAGACGAGCCACTCTTCCTTCTGTTTTATTCACATTTCCTTTCACATTTCAGGTTCTGCCATCGGTTCTTTTTATCTCACCTTTCGGGCAGAGCTGTCTCCTTGCATTCTCCCTGACTTTCCCTCATGTCCTCCACACAGTACACTTTCTGATCCTTTCTTGCCTCCCTTTTCCCTTTTAGTTCCCATTTCTTTCCTCTGCCTCTTGTCTGCCCCGTTCTCATCCCTGTCTTCCCCTCGCTTTCCTCATCGCCTCCTGTTCTGTCTGGTCCACCTCCTGCTCCGTCTCTCCACCTGCTCCCTGCTCCCTCCCGAGTGCCCGCAGGTGCTGCTCACTGCCAGTCAGGACCCATCCTGAATACCAGCTTCCCCAAAACTCTTAAAAACAAAATCAGACAGACATGAGGGTCGGAGATTTACTCATACTCCAGACGTGAGCTCTGCTCTTCCCCTGAACCGTTCCACCCTTACCCAGCCCACGCGGTGCCTGGGGAGTGCTGATTTCCTGCCACAAAATAAAAATCAGCACAGCTGGAGCCCCCGATGACACGCTCCCTGGGCAGAAACGTGGCCGTGGTAGGAGGTGCTGGGGCAGCCCCTCATGAAGTAAGTGAGGTCACTGCCAGGACACCGCAAACAGGGGAGATGCCTGTCCTTCGCAGGGACCCCCACAGCGGGCTGACAAGTTTATTGAATGTTTATTTGGACCCATTCCAGGATCGCCTCCCCACACTTGGCAATGAGCATCTGCCCCGGCTCCCAGAGGAAGCTCAGCCAGCCTTTCCTCACCAGCTTACTTTGCTGCATAGAGCCCCCAAGGACTGGGTGAAGCTTGAAGGCTATTTTTATGTCAACATCTAGAATCACAGATATTTTGGTACTTAAAAAATCTCAGCAAGTAGGAATGAAGATTTGGGGTGAACAAGGTTACCAGAAAGGCCTCCTTTTCCCTGGTCTGTCCTAAGAATGTGGCCACTGTTGGCAGATGACACTGGCTTGGCTCCAGCCGCCTTCCCTAGAGTGCCTCCTGCAGCTGGAATCCTCAGCTCTTTGCTTTCAAAGCTCTCTTGCTCCTATTCCAGGATAGATTTGCTATTTCCTGAGACACTCTGGAACTTGTCAGAGTCCAGCTCTGTTCTCCGTTAGAAATAAAGTTTCTTCAATAGATAACTGCTTCATTTCAAAGGCATATTTTTGGGTCAAAAATGTCATTAATACATCTCGGATTAATATAGGAGATGAGATAATGTCTTCTAGAAATAAAAGTCCTTCCATTCTGTTCCCACAGAAAACAAAGCAATTCCCTGGGTGGACGTAGTGGGCTTGGATAGCCCAGCCCCATCATCCTGCATGGGCTTGGCTCGAGGAGACAAGGAGGAGGAGAAACCTCACGGTCCAAGGACACAGAGGCCAGACTGGACATGGCCTTGCCCATCCAGATGTGCAGGTCTCTGCAGGTGTCTTCCTCTTCACCGCAGTAGGAGGAGACCTGAGCAGGTGCAGGTGCACATCCACCATTGTTGCCTGGCATTGGCTGTGCTGGAGCACAGATGAGGCAGCTGGGGAGAGACTTTATTAGCAGAGCACACTGAGAAAGAGCAGAGTGCGAAGTACATTGCAAAACTGGAAGCCGAAGAACGTTCTTGGGTTCCATGAATAGGCTTCCCTTAGGCCCCATGAAAACAGGAAGGGCCAAAGACAGGGATTTGAAACACAGAATTTCCAGCTGAAATGAAGATGAATCACTTGAAGAACTTGATTTTGGCCTAAATTCAACCATGTATTATTTCCTGAAAACATTTAGCTTTTATATACCCATCTACCACATAGGTTGTAAGAATATTTAAGGCAAGATTTGATCAAGAAACCTCACCCGAGAATAAGTTTCAGTGACTTACTGCACAGCAAAGAACGATAGTTAATAATAATTATATATTTCACAATTGCTAAAAGAGTACATTTTAAACGTTCCCACTTCAAAAAAATGTTAAGTATGTGAGGTGATGGATATGTCAGCTGGCTTGATTCAAACATTCCACAATGTATGTGTATGCCAAAAAATCCCATTGTACCCCAAAATATATACAATCATTATTTGTCAGTTAATAAAAAAATAACCTCACCAGAACTTTGACCATAGCAATGGCCTAAAAATGTTCCCTGATTTTTACACTATAAAATATCAGAAGCATGGTTCTGTTCCTCTCTCCACCATGGCCTGGACCCCAGCAGCTGTCTGGAGAGGAAGGAACAGCCCCCTTGGCTGCTTCTCCAGAAGCAGGAACTGGCCCTCTGGGTCCCGCAGCTCCCTCTGTCCTGGCTGCTCTCAGGCTCCTCTGTCACATCCCGGGTGAGGACGGCGAGTTGTGCTGAGGAGTCTTGGATGGAATGGAACCATGAAATCACAGTGAGGAGCTAGAGGGATGCACGTCCCATGCATGCACTAATTGGCAGCACCAGGTCTTTCCCTGGTTTACACCTTAAGCGGCTGGGCCTGGCCTGGTTCAGTGGGGGACGTGAACCCCACCTTCTGTGGCTGAAGGAGAGACAGCCATAGTGCTCTGTACCCCTGGGTTGAGCAAGACCACATTCAATCTGGGTGGTGCCTTTTTGCTGTCCTAAGGCACAGTAATAATGGAAGAAAGTGTAAATTCTTTTTTTTTTTTTTTGAGACAGAGTCTCGCTCTGTTGCCAGGCTAGAGTGCTGTGGCGTGATCTCGGCTCACTGCAACCTCCAACTCCCTGGTTCAAGGGATTCTTCTGCCTCCGCCTCCCGAGTAGCTGGGATTACAGGCATGCGCCACCATGCCCAGCTAATTTTTGTATTTTTAGTAGAGATGGGGTTTCACTATGTTAGCCAGGATGGTCTCGATCTCCTGACCTGATGATCCACCCGCCTTGGCCTCCCAAAGTGGTGGGATTACAGGCGTGAGCCACCACACCCTGCCAAAAGTGTACATTCTTATCAACATCGAGCAAAAAAGGAGTTTTGCCTTTTGTATTTTTTTAATCTCAGAGGAAGAGCCCATAGTTGCTGAAAATGTCTCTTCCCACTGTCCCCTCTGCTCTGGTATTTGAACACCTCCTGGCCATTTCTGTGAACTAGATGCTGACAGCTCCTAAACCACCCTCCATGTTCAGAAATATCTTCTATCTGGCTGGGGCTCAGCCAGAGCCAGAAAAACAGGCTGAGAACAGGTTCTATGGCTGAGAATTCAGGCCTCTTGTATTAAAGCTTGCTGGAGAAAAAAAAATGTATTCCTCGGTGGACTTATGAATTGAGATTGAGTGGTTCAGCTTCAGCTGACCTAAACAGGTTGTTCTCTTGGGGGCTGTCAACCAATATTCTAGGGAGGTGCTGGAAAGATTTGGTCAAGCCATTCAGTCCCCAAGCTCCTCGGCCCCCATTATCAGCATGAATGTCTGATGGTTCCGATCCTGTACCCTGCTCCCCAGGCTTGGGCAGAGACTTCCCAGTAACAACCTGCCTTTTCTGCCACATCTTCCCTTGCTCCCTCATTCACTCCTGCATCCATTTATCCATCTAAACACCTACCAGCAGCCAGGCATTAGCAAGGCCCCAAGGCAATTAAACATAGTTCTAACCTCCCTAACTACAGAAAGGACTTAAGAACCTAACTCGCATTTAAGGCTGTGTGATAACTAAATGAGATAATATATGTAAAGCACTTATACATGGCTGATAAGTAATACAAAATAATAACAACCATCGTGACTCAAGGTGCAGTGCCTAATCTCGGAGAGCTCCCAGCTTCTGGGGTCTCTGACAACAAGGAACAAGTAAATGACAACAGCCAAGGTCCCGGGCATGCTGGTGGAACTGACCCTATTTCTTAAACTCCAGCCTCTGCCTTTGCCTGTTCCAGGTGCTTAGAGGCTATATTTGCAGTGGTGTGAGTTCACATGGGATTTGAGCCCCTATTTTACATCTTTCTCATGTGCAGAACAAGCTGCTTTTCCAAAGCACAATAACACATTTCCATGGAAACCACTTCATCCACTGGGACTCATCTCACTGATGCTGCTACAGTGAAATTTTGTTGATGATATTCTTTAAAAAGATGACCAGTGTGTGTGCATGGACACTTAGTGTGTTTGTTTTCAGGTATACACAGACACACACACACACACACACACACCACTCACACAATCCTTTTTAATGGCTTTCTTCCGTAGAGTTTTAGCACAGCAGATTGATTGTTACTTAGGAAACCATGACGTCACCAACACCACGTACATCAGCAAAGCTGTCGTTGCATCAAAGGCTTGGTTTGCATTCAAGCAGGTTAAAAGAAAGAGAAAAGGATGGATCCAGTGGTGAGTTAAAGATAGAGATGGGCCAATGGGTGTATGTCATCATCATCACTGAGGAAATCAAGGTAAAAAATGAGTTTGAAGGAAACCAGCTCTGGATGTCAATTCCAAATACCAATGCCTTTGTGAAGGAATAATGAGACTCTATTACCTGAAATGCAGACACACACACACGCACAGACGCACACACACACACAGACGCACACCTATTCAGCATAAACTCCATTCGACCTTCAGACATTCACTGATCATCTACAGTGTGCCAAACACTGTGAAAAGTGCTGTGGACAGTACAAACATTGGACAAGGGCCCACAGATAGTTTTAAACCAGTAGGGAAGGTATGCAGTTATCAAGTGTGCAGGTACTGGTAAAGAAAAGCCATTTCTCAAAATGCAGCCTTGGTCAGCTCACTTAGCTTTCAATGTCTTAGTTTCCTGAAGTGTAAACTGGTGGTGAAGGTACAGAAAATGGCTTCGAGAGTGAAAATAAATAGCCTCCCAGGGCTATGCAAACCAAAGGGAAAGGTCCACATGCACCCTGCAGGAGTCAGTCGAAAAGGCCTCATTGTGGAGAGCGCAGCTGAGGCAACCCAGGATTCCAACAGTCAGATTCCAGCATGCAGAGCACGGAGCAGGCCAGCGGATTCACACATTCATGTTACCCGTCTAGCAGAGCAGACCAGCAGGTGAGATGCACAGTGTCAGGCTCAGGGACAGCCCACAGTAGAGGTGGACAGGAGTGTGGGAGGCTGTGTGTGGGAGCAGAGGGGAGAAGCAGCTGGGAAATTGGGCTGAGACCAGACTTCGGAGCAGCCTGTGTGCCCAGCTGAGAAGTCTGAATGTGTCTGTGTAGCCGGGTGGAGTACACGGCAAACATCTGAGCAAAGGTGTGGAATGACCCCAAGCAGGGGACATGAACTTGCGGGCCCCAGGCTTAGCTTGATGCACAGACATTTTATTTGCTCAGGAAGGTGGGGTGATTTTAGCATTTAAAATTTGTTTTTACCTATGCATAGGGCCTTCTCAGCTCTAGTTTGCTACAGGAATCGTCCCACCCTATTGTTTTATGACCACAGATTTACACATTCATGTTACCTATCTAGTCCTAGAAAGCACATGAAGTTTTAACCCCTGAAAAAATAATCTGCTACCAGATAAAGGATGCAATGAAGATTGGAAGAGGATAAACAAATTAGGAAGGGCAAATTCTACACCCGTACCTAGACTGTCCGGCAACATCTTTCTCAACAGAACCTGGGCTGTGGTATGGCAGCCTTGAGGCTAAAGGGTCCAGGTGGGAGGGCTTCAAAACTTGACATTCTGCTAGATAAATCATTCATTGCTTTAACAACCAGGTTTAATCACTTACCATAGGACAAATTCTGTGTGACACATGAGGTACAGAGACAGTTAATGAGAATTGTTTACTGGTTTTCAGCACTGGATCAATTTTCCTGCAGAGAATTATATCAAATTATTTACTGCACTGTGTAGAACACATTTGAGACTTTGGGGAAATCACAAAAATATATAATTTACAGCTCTGGCCTTCAAGAAGCTCACAATCTCTTGAAGAAGCAGGATATAAACACAAAGATTTTTTGTGTTTGCTTGTTTTCCTTTTTTAAAGGAGGAGTTAAGCTACAGTAGAAGGGATTTCTCCATATAATAATGTATTTCTCGAAATAAAGTATAAAGTCAAACAACTTTGAGCCCAAGCCTTTTTACTAATTAGCTATGCAATTTTAAACAGATTGCTTAATCCTTTTGAAAAATGTTTTTCTCACTTATAATCTGAAAATTAAAATGAGTATCTTTCTTTCTCAGCAGATAGTTGTGAAAATCAAAGAAAATCGGAGAAACAATTTTAGAGTATAAAAAACTTTAATGATATTCGCTCATCTCTTTGATTTCCAGATAAGGGAAACTCTGACATAAAGTTTTTATGAGACATTTTCCAAGGCTACTAAACTGGTAATATTAATTGATAACACATTTGTTTCTTATGTATACGTATGGATTTCATAAATATTTGTTGTAAGCCTAGGCACAAGGCCATGTTTTGGGCTCTGCAGGGAGAGCAGGGGCACAAGACTGACACAACGTCTTCTGCCCTCTCAGAGCTCACAGTCTCTTAGGGAGACACTCAACACGTTAGTACAAGTGGGATACGGATAGCAAACATGAGATCCAGAGTGTAAAATGTATATGGCAGAGAGGCAGGCCCAGCCCATGATATGAGAAAAGGCCTCCTGAGGATGGCACACAGAAGCCAACAAGTAGGATGTAGATGTTTAGAAACACGTATTTTAGAAATATATCTGTGATTGTGGATAGAGACAGAACACACGTGTTTTGAATTGGAGTTTGATGTCCTTTATTTAAAAGTATCTTGTAGATTTCAAAGTTAATCTCAACCATAAACAACTACAGGGGTGCATGAAATGTATAAAACAATAAATTTTATATACTGGACAGAAAGCAATGGGTGACTAATCCTCAAGACAAGAAAACATAGGAAGTGAGCACTACATGTACTCTGGCTTTATATCTGGAGGTAATTTTAGGACCACAGCAGAAGACGAAGCCAAACAGAGCCCAGAAGAATCACTGTGCTGAGGAGACAGAGATCAGAGTTTTGAGGGACCAGAGTAACTAGAATTTGCAGAGCAGTGTACGAAAGAAGCCATGCCAAGAAATCTGTATAGCTTCCCCTGTAGTATTTGGATATTCCAATCTGCATACCCATAGGGAGAAACATCAAGAGTCTAAACAAAAAATAACTTCTGAAGAAGGAAAATACATTAGCTATAAAACACCCACAGCTTACAGAGGACTGAGAAAGGTTCAAGTGCCAATTAGCCACCGTGAAGAGACGACATTGAACAAAGGTGATATTCAGCAGAGTAAGGCCTCCCTGAAATGCATTCTAGACATTTTAAAAGACAGGTATACAGACATGCATCAGTTTGAGAAATAAAACTGACGAACCAGTAACCTAAGTTTACAAGAACTAAGTCCACCACTCTTTCTAGGAATACAACAAAATACAGTACTCAGCCAATAAAAAACAACTGGTCAGGCAAAAAACAGCAAACGTGATCCATGACCAAATGAAAATTCAATCAGCAGAAAGACTCAGAAATGAGACGGGCATGATGAAATTAGCAGACAAAGTTAGGAAAACGCTGTAATACACACACTGAATACACGCAACAGTTTAAAGGCAAACATCAATATAATGAGGGGAAAAGCAAAACATAAAAATGAACCACGTGGAGCATCTAGAGATAGAAATAGGAATAACTGCAGATTAGACAGTGCAGAAGAAAAGATTGTAAACTTAAACTTGTAACAATATAACCTATCCCAAATCAATTCAGGGAAAATTAAAAGAGTAGGAAAGAAAAGCAGAATGACAGGTATTTAGGAAACAGTGCAAAGGGGCTCATGTATACATAATAGGAAACCCAAATGAGAGGAGGTAGAAAACGAAATATAGGAGGAAATAACCACAGAGAGTATTTAAAATTTGATAAAAACAATGGGACTATACAGCCAAGAATTCCACGCAGAAAAACAAAATAAAAGAAACAAACCAAAAGACCAAATCAAAGCAAGTTTACATCATAAAATAATGATAAAGAGAAATCTTTAAAATATCAAGAAATAAAATCATATTACTTACAATAGACCAAATACAAGAAAGGCCATAGCTATGTGGTTAGAAACTAGGTAAGGCAAAATTCAATGGAACAACATAATAAAAGAGTTAAAAGAAACATAGACATACTTCTAGAATTCTCTATCCAGTAAAATATCCCTAGGAAGGTAAATAATACATTTTTCAAACATATTAAAGCTGAAGAAATATGTTGCCAGCAAGGATACACTATAGTAAAGGTAAATAAAGTTATTTAGATAGAACTAGGGTATCAACAGAAAAAAAACAAAAACAAAAACAAAAAAAAAGTCCCTGAAATCATGACTTACATTATGAAAGTAGGCTTCTCATTTTAAAATGTCAATATTTAAAGCCAAAACACTAACAATGTATTATGGGGGTGAATATTAAATGTATACTTTGAATATAGATAGACTAAACATATTAATAAACAGGCAAAAATTGGCAGAATAAATGAAAAAAAAAACTCAACTATCTTGTGTCTACAAGTTGAACACTTGAGATTCAATGACACCCGAAGATTAAAAGCAAAGATACAGCATGCAAATAGTCATCAAAAAGAGCTGGAATGCTTATACTAATATCAGACAAAATAGAATTTGACACAAAAATTCTTAGGGAAAGACAAGACATTTTATAATGATAAAAGAGTTAATCACCAGGTAGACATAACAATTTCAAACATGTACACGTAATAACAGAGTGCCAAACTACATGAATCAAAACCTGACAACGAGAAAAGGAGAAATAGACAACTCAACAACAGTAGTTGTGGGCTTCAATACTCAGCTTTCAAAATGTGTAGAAAAACTCAACAAGATCAATAAAGAAACAAAAGACTTGAAAACATTACAAACCAACTAGCCCTAACAAACAAATGTGGAGCATTCCACCCAGTAGACCACCTGTTCTTCTCCAGTGCAGTTGGAATATTCTCTATGGTGGACCAAATGGTGAGCTGCAAAGCAAGCCTCAATAATTTTAAAAACAGCAAAATCATGCTAAGTATCTTCTCTGACCATAATGAAATAAAGTTAGAGCTCAATAACAGAAGAAAAACAAATATTTGCAAATTTGTGGAAATTAAACAACACAGTCTTAAACAACCAATGGATCAAAGAAAAAAAATCACAAGAAAAATTAGAAAACAACTTGAGGTAAATAAAAATGAATATGCAACGTAATAGAACTTATGGTGTACAGCTGGAGCAGTGTTTAGATAGAAATTAACAGCTGTTAATCTACTCTATTTAAAAAAGAAAAATTATCTCAAACCAATAACCTAATCATACACCTTAATATATTAGTAAAAAAAACAAAAACAAAAACAAAAACAAAAACAAAAAAACAGAAAAAAAAAACAAGGAAATAGTGAAGTTTAGATGGCAAATAAATGAACTAGAGAATAGAAAAACAATACAGAACATTAATGAAACCAGAGTTGGTTCCTGAAAAAGATGAACAAAAACTGGCAAATCTTTAGCTAAACAGATTAAGAAAATAAGGAAGAAGACTCAAATAATTAAAATCATTAACAGAATAGGGGACAGTCAATCCCAACCTTACAGAATTCTCTATGAATGATAAAGAAATACCATAAAAAATTGTGTGCAACAAAGTAGACAACTTAGATGAGATGGAAAATATTTCTGGAAAGTGATAAACTGTCAAAAACAACATCAAAAGTAATAGAAAATTGGATTATATCTATAACGAGGAGATAGTGAATTAGTAATAAAAAAAAACTTCACACAAAGAAAAGCCCAGGTACACATGTAATTCCTAAATACTCTTAAATAATTAAAGCAAGATGATATAGCTAATAAACCAACAGTGAAGATACAGTGGAATTATTAATAAATATTAAATACTTAATGAGTATTTACTTTTTATAATAAAAACCAAAACAAAGAATAAAAAGAAATAGAGCTAGACAACAGTTTTAAGACTGAAAAATATTAATAACATTAGATCAAAATAGTCTAAATACTTCCATAAAAAAGTGTTTATTAGAATTGATTATAAAGAGAAACCAAGACACTAGTATGGGGTGTCTATAAGAAAATCGTGTTAAACATAAACACACAGAAATGTTAAAAGTCAGTGAGCAGAAAATGATACACCATGGGAACATTGCACATGAGAGCTCTGAGTGGCAAAGATAATACCAGAAAAGCTAGAAAAAGAAAAGGGCTACGTCAGGGCCCAAAAACATTTTATAATAATAAAGGGGTAAATAAACCAAGCAGACATAATGATTCTAAATGTGTATGCAACCAAATAACAGAGATTCAAAATACATGAGGCAAAATTTGACAAAGTGGGAGGAGAGGTAGACAAATTTACAATTATATTTGGAGATTGAAGTACTCCTTTCTCAGTAATTGATAGAACATATAGACGGAGAATCCATAGTGGTATTGAAGAATTCAGCAAGTCTCTCAAACAACATGGCCTAATCAACATTTACAGACCACTCTGTCCTCCAAGAACAGGATGCGTATTATTGTCAAATATGCATATAATCTTCACCAAGAAAGACTACATGGGCTGGACATGGTGGCTTACACTTGAAATCCCAGCACTTTGGGAGGCCACGGCAGGCATATCACCTGAGGTCAGGAGTTCAAGACCAGCCTGGCCAACATGGTGAAACCCTGTCTCTACTAAAAATATAAAAAAATTAGCCGGGCAGGTGCCTGTAATCCCAGCTACTCGGGAGACTGAGGCAGGAGAATCGCTTGAACCCGGGAGGCAGAGATTGCAGTAAGCCGAGATCGCACCATTGCACTCCAGCCTGGGCAACAAGAGCGAAACTCTGTCTCAAAAAAAAAAAAAGAAGAAGAAGACAGACTATATGTTGGTTTATGAAATAAATATCAATAAATTTAACAGCACCAAAGTCTTGTGGAGTATGTTCTCTGAGCACAGCAGAATTAGATTAAAAACCAACAACAATATACTTCAAAAATCACCAATTATTTGGAACTTCAATGACATCCTTATAAATAACCTGTAAGTTGAAGGATAAATCAGGGGAAATTAGAGAACATTTTGAACCATATGAAAATAATAACACGACACTTCACGATTTGTAGTGTGCAGCTGAAGCACTGCTAAGATAGAAATTTATATGCTGACTGAAAAACAGAAGATGGTCTGCAATGAATTATCTAAGCTTCTGTATGAAGAATCTAGAAAAGGAAAAGTAGATTAAACCTAAAACAAGTTCAATAAGGTGCAAAAAATGTAAGTTTTAATTCCTGTACTTCCCAGACCAAACAGATGGGAGAATAAAAAACGTGAGCGATCTCAACAAATCCAAGATAAGAACAGTCTCAATTTTGTCATCTCATGTCAGCTGATTGCAGGGTGAGTCCAGCCAGTAGAGAACATGGTGATTCTACTGACAACAGTGCCCTATGCACCTTCGGGTGGGATGAGGGAGAAGAGGGAACCCAGAAAATGTTTTATGAGTTTTGATCTCCAGGAGAAGTCCTCGTGAGGACTTCTAGTGGTAAAGACTCAACCTCCTGAGTGAGTTCTTTAGTCCAACAGAACTAGCATGGGTGTGGACCAAAATACAATCTAGGCAGAATGAAAAACATCACACTTCCTACCAACACATGCCTACATGACCAAGACTCAAAAATAACATGTATGATTAACATTTGGATAACACTTCATAGGCATAAAACTTATCTCAAAAACTTACATTCTTATATTTCAAAATTCAGTATGTAATATTGAAGAGTATAACATGCACAAGAATAATAACATGATAACCTATAGGCTTATCACACAGCTTGAAAAATAAAACATTGCCACGATGCCTAAATCCCCGATCACCAACTCCTGAATGATTCATTTTCCCAAGGTATAACTACCACTAGTCGTTTTATAACATTTTTTACCACATATAGGTATTATTTTTATTTTAAAACTTTTTGTGAATGCGATTATATTATACTAAAACTTGCTTTTGTATATAATGTTGTGTTTGGGGTATTTGTTCATGCAGACACACATAACTACATTTTATTCATTTTTCACCAATTTCCCGTGTTCCATGTTATGACACCTTGATAGTTTATTTCTCTAAAGTTAACAGAATGTATTTGTCGGTTTTTGATGTATAGCAAATTACATTAGCGTCTCCCGCCCCCCTTTATTTATAGGTGATATGTTCCAAAACCCCTGTGGGATGCCTGAAACCGCAGGTAGTACTGTGCTCTCTATATACTGTTTTTTTCCTGTACATACACATGTCTATGATAAAGTTTAATTTATAAATTAGGCACAGTTAGAGATCAACAGCAACTGATAATATAAGAGAGCAATTTAACAATTACAACAATAAAATGTGATAAAAATCATGGGAATGTGGACTCTCTCTCTCTCTCAAAATACCTTAATATTTTCATACCACAGTAACTGAAGCTGTGGAAAGTGAAACCATTGATGCGGGCAGACTCCTGTATCTCAAAATCTCAATCATTTCCCGTATTTATATTCACTCTCAACAGTTTGCAAGCCGATTATGATTCAACTCATCTAGGCTGAGCTAGCCTGGACTCCAGGCTTACCTTGGGGGTCAGTTCTGCCCCCAGGCCGAAGGGGCAGTTGCAGCAATGGTTGTGCTTCCCGGGGGGGACCACCAGAGAACACTGGCTAAACCAAGCCAGGCAAGCAGATTGAAGGCCCTCGCCCACAATACATCTGCTACCACTCCATAGTTCAAACCCAGCATCAACTGGGTGGGGACGTGTGTTGTGCCTCCTCTAGAGGGAGAGATCACAAGGTTGTGTAACAAAGGTCGGGATGTATAATCCTAATACAAGAAGTGAGCCAAGCAGAAGCAAGCATCTCAGCCATCCAGCACTGTTAGGAGCATGTGCTGCTGGTGGAAATGTAAATTAATAGGACCATTTTAGGGAACCATTGGCATTAATTACCCAGTGATGACAAAGACGTTTAGCCTATAACCAACCCACTGCAGTCTGAAGTATATGACTTAAAGAAACTCTCACATTTACATTAACATTTTATAATATAAAAGTGCAAATATATTCATTATTTCAAGTAGGTCTCTGAAAAACACCTTAGGGTGAATATTTACATTCCCAATTTGTAGATAGGAAAATTACTCCCATGCTAAGGAGTAATGGGCCAATGGCCTAACATAAAGATTTTTGACTCAAAGGCTAAACATCTCCCTGATACCACACTGCCCACCACCCCAAAAGACCCTCTGTGTGTGCCCTTGACCCTGCTGCCCTAAGAGGGCTGTGAGCAAAAGGTAAATCAGGTGACTTCTCCTCATCCCTGTGGCCTCTTTAAAAATAAATGCCGAATGCTGACAAGCAAAGCTGAGAGCAACATCCAGATACTTTGACTGCTGAAGGCAAAGTATGAGGGTGTTTGGAAATGCACAGGTAGTTGTTGGAAGTCTTACTTCTTCAGTCAGACTTTTGACCCTCTATCTGGTCTTAGGTGAGCTTCCCTAGAGGCTGAGATGGGATTCTTGGGCAAGCATCTTACTGAGAAAGTACCCTGAGGAAATGCCTGCATTGGAGTGAGGGAGGCAAGGTAAGAGAGAAAGAGATGAAGTAAACACGTCTGTATTAGCCCATTTTCACACTGCAGATAAAGACATACCTGAGACTGGGTAAATCATAAAAAAAAAAAGAAAGAAAAAGAGGCTTAATGGACTCACAGTTCCATATGGCGGGGGGGCCTCATAATCATGGTGGAAGGCAAAAGGCACATCTTATATCACAGCAGGCAAGAGAGAGAATGAGAGCCAAGCAGCGAAAGGGGTGTCTCTTTATAAAACCATCAGATCTCATGAGATTGATTCACTACCACAAGAACTGTATGGGGAAGGCTGCCCCCATGATTCCATTATTTCCCACCGGGTCCTTCCCACAACATGTGGGAATTACAGGAGCTACAGTTAAAGATGAGATTTGGATGGGGACACAGCCAAACATATCATTCCACCTCTGGCACCTCCCAAATCTCATGTCCTCACATTTCAAAACCAATCATGCCTTCCCAACAGTCCCCCAAAGTCTTAACTCATTCCAGCATTAACTCAAAAGTCCACAGTCCAAAGTCTCACCCCAGACAAAGCAAGTCCCTTCCACCTATGAGCCTGTAAAATCAAAAGTAAGTTAGTTACCTCCTAGATACAATGGTACAGGCATTGGGTAAAGATAACCATTCCAAATGGCAGAAATGGGCCAACCCAAAAGGTCTAAAGCTCTCATGCAAGTCCTAAATCCAGTGGAGCAGTCAAATCTTAAAGCTCCAAAATAATCTCCTTTGATTCCATGTCTCACATCCAGGTCATGCTGATGCAAGAGGTGGGTTCCCATGGTCTTCAGCAGCTCTGCCCCTTTGCAGGGTACAGCTTCCCTCCTGGCCACTTTCACAGGCTGGTGTTAAGTGTCTGCAGCTTTTCCAGGTGCACAGTGCAAGCTGTTGGTGGATCTACCATTCTGGGGTCTGGAGGACAGTGGCCGTCTTCTCACAGCTCCATTAGGCAGTGCCCCAGTGGGGACTCTTTGTGGGGGCTTCAACCCCACATTTCCCTTCTGCACTGCCCTAGAAGAGGTTCTCCATGAGGATTCCACCCTGCAGCAAACTTCTGCCTGGACATCTAGGCATTTCCCTACATCCTCTGAAATCTAGGCAGAGGTTCCCAAACCTCGATTTTTGACTTCCGTGCACCTGCAGGCTCAACACCATGTGGAGGCTGCCAAGGCTTGGGGCTTGCAGCCTCTGAAGCCATGGCCTGAGTTGTACCTTGGCATTTTTAGCCATAGCTAGAGTGGCTGGGAGGCAGGGCACCAAGTCCCTAGGCTGCACACAGCAGGGGGCCCTGGGCCCAGTCCATGAAACCATTTTTTCTTCCTAGGCCTCCAAGTCTGTGATGGGAGGGGCTGCCACAAAGTTCTCTGACATGCCCTGGACACATTTTCCCCATTGTCTTGGTGATTAACATTTGGCTCTTCATTACTTATGCAAATTTCTGCATGCTGCTTTAACTTCTCCTCAGAAAATGGGTGTTTTCTATTGCATCATCAGGCTGCAAATTTTCTGAACTTTTATGCTGTGTTTCCCTTTTAAAACTGAATGCTTTCAGCAGCACCCAAGTGCCCTCTTGAAGGCTTTGCTGCTTAGAAATTTCTTCCACCAGACACCCTAAATCATCACCCTCAAGTTCAAAGTTCCACTCATCTCCAGAGCAGGGCAAAATGCTACCAGTATCTTTGCTAATACATAGCAAGAGTCACCTTTACTTCAGTTCCCAACAAGTTCCTCATCTCCATCTAAGATCACCTCCGCCTGGACTTCATTGTTCATATCATTATCAGCATTTTGGTCAAAATCATTCAACAAGTCTCTAGGAAGTTCCAACCTTTCCCACATTTTCCCGTCTTCTTCTGAGCCCTCCAAACTGTTCCAACTTCTGCTTGCCTAGTCCCAAAGTCGCTTCCACATTTTCAGATGTCTTTACAGCAGCACCCCACTCTACCGGTACCAATTTACTGTATTAGTCCATTTTCACACTGCTGATAAAGACATACCTGAGACTGGGTAAATTATAAAGAAAAAGAGGTGTAATGGACTCACAGTTCCACGTGGCTGGGGAGGCCTCACAATCATGGCAGGAGGTGAAGGCACATCTTACATGACAGCAGGCAAGAGAAAGAATGAGAACCTAGTGAAAGGGGTGTCACCTTATAAAACCATCGGATCTCATGAGACTCATTCACTACCATGAGAAGAGTATGGGGAAGACCACCCCCCATGATTCAATTATCTCCCACCAGGTCCCTCCCACAACGTGTGGGAATTACGGGAGGTACAATTTAAGATGAGATTTGGGTGGGGACACAGCCAAACCATATCAACATCACTTCCAAAGTCCTGCCTCAGTCCCGTCTCATGAGGAGTTCTGGGGCACCAAGTGCATCACAAATCCTGCCCCATATTGGGACAGAGATTGGAAGTTTATACTTTGGCACGAGTGGCCAGTGGCCTCGGACAGCCCCAGTGGTGTCTCCTGGCAGGCAGCCTTCATCTGCAAGGAGCAGCCCTCCAGAGAAAAATGCAGATGTAGCAGACAGCATCTGAGACATGGGCCAGCTCAGTAAAGTGGCTCTGGAGAGGGGGCAGCAAGGGCCTCTGACATGGTTACTTTACATACTTGTTTCAGCTCTCCCAGGAACCCACACATGCCACCACGAGCAGCTGGACCTCACCTGTGAGGAGGTGTAAATACATCCCTCCTGTTATTGCTTCCACAGTTAAACATATGTTTCAGGAGCTAGGAGAGTCCTAGGACAGGACACCAGCTTCTCCAGGTGCTGATTACTGATTTGTACATATTTATACTGCCTGATATTGCTATAGAGGAAAAGTGAATGGTTTGAATCCCCAAAGGGGCTTTGGAAAAGTAATATATCATAATGGACCACAATGTTCCAGGGACCCTGTTAGTCATTTTAACCTAAGTCATTTCATTATGACATATGTTAATCAGTAGAAATAATTATTTCTGAAGCCAGTTTTTAGATAAAGAAACAGAGGGTCATGAAGGCAGAAACAAGACTGCAATACGGTTGTCTGGTTCCCACTCCTGGATGGCAAAGGCGATGTTAGGCAATGACATCATCATTACCACCAATGTCACAGCAGTCGCTCACTGCTGAGCATCATTTCTGTGCTTTCCTGCCAGGCAATCATGGGCGCTTTTGTGGACCATGCTTCCTCCCTGACCCACCCCACAGGCCTCATCAGCTCCTTGGAGGCATCCAACGACATGCACACGTGGTGCAGTCTGACAGAAGAGCCTTTCTACTTTTCTACACTGACTAGGGCAAGGTGGCCAAGTGGCCACCATCACAGTGCCAACCATAACAAGAGAAATGCAATTAGAAAAACTCGAAGAGCATTGAAAATATGTTGTTGACCAGTGCCCAAAATGGTAATTCTTGTTTTCAGAGGAAAACAAACATACCCACTTTCTTTTCAGTGACTGGAATACCACAGAGCCTGCTTTAACCGGGAGTCTCATAATGTGTGCGTGTGTGTGTGCCTGTAAAAGTGATAAGCTATTTCTAAAATCTAGATGGAAATACAAAACCCAAGAATAACCAAAGTAATGTTGACAAAAACACTGCTAAGTAACTTGCTACTGCAGATACCCAGGTGTGTTATAACACAGTACTGGCTTATTCAGTATACTAGTGATGTGAGGATAGAAAGTTTGACCAACAGAACAAAATAGGATAAATAAGGAGATGTGTGAAAATACGGCCGGCTTTTCTGTGACAAGAGCATCAATCGGTATGGGGGGAAAGAATAGTCTTTTCAACACATGGTGCTGAGACAATCAAACATCCGTATGAGAGCTTTGGACCTGTAATCCAAAGACACCTGCATATTGTCAGGAAAATCTGCTTCCTGCCTCTCACCATATACAATAACAACAATAAAGAGTCTATTCTTGATGGATTGCAGATCTAAATGTAAAATGTCAACCAATAAAACACCCAGACAGAAACATGAGATAAAAGTCCTTCAGCTCCCAGGGGTCGGGGGTGTACACCTATTTCCCCAACAGGTAGGCAGGGAGCTTCCAATAAGCAGTCAGACAAGAGAGATGCTGGAGTCCAGCTTCAGTAGGAGGCAAGCCAGAGCGCGGATCCACTCGATATCAAAAGTCAGTGCTGTCTTTGCCAAATGGGGAAGTGTAGTGGCTCGAGCATCTTTGCTGAGGTGCGTCGCACGAGGTTGACTGATTTTCCTCAGGAGAACGTCTTCTCTTCCCTCCTCTCCATGATCACAATCGTCAATTGATCACCCACCATAATATAAGTCAGCAGGTACTTACCAAACACCCCTCAACCGTGATCACTGTGCTGAGAGTACACGCGTGGGAGGAGAGAGGGCTACGAAGTGAGAGTAGCACATGCTGCCTGCCAAGCCTGGGAGCTTGAAGGCCAGAGAGTGAAATTAGATACATTCACCAGGCATTTCAATAATCCAAGGCAGACCACAGTTTACATTAAAATACATGATTTATAGAAAAACAATATAGGAATTCAAAGAAGGATGTAATCAACAAGAAGTCATGACCCACTGCCTGCACTCAGCCTTGAAGAATATGTGAATCTGGCCGGTGCTGTGATTACAAAGTCTTGTCTCAGGAAAGCCTTACACACTCCTGCTCAGGAGTAACTGTGCTTCTCTTAACAGAGGAAGGTGCTGACTAAAGTTCAAGCAGTGAGACGCATTGTCGGGAGTGCCACGGAAATGCCTGGAGAAGATGGACCACAGCATGGTCCCCATCAAACCCAACCCGCTCAACCTTCCAGAATGCTCTATCCTACCATGCCTCACCCCTCTCCCTCCCCACATTTCTCTAAAGGCCCCTGCCAGTGTGCAGTGTGTAAGCCTTTGCCCAGCGTTTGTTGGCAACGTTGCAGGGTATACAGACTCATCCATCCTGGCCGTCTGCTCTGAGATATTGTCTGGTTTAGTGTGAACATCTGTGTAGAGAAGGATGAAGACAGCACCCCATGCTTCCAGTGTTTCCATCACTTATGTCTTTGCCCTGGGCCCTGAGTTCTGGGGAGATGCACCACCTGGCATGAGAATCACAC
Organism: Homo sapiens; assembly: GCF_000001405.40. Classification (NCBI taxonomy): domain Eukaryota; kingdom Metazoa; phylum Chordata; class Mammalia; order Primates; family Hominidae; genus Homo; species Homo sapiens. The sequence goes on along the minus strand of NT_187581.1, from coordinate 114,429 downwards.
AGAACTTCCTGCCAGGGACGAAGCCTCACAGTGGAAGCAGATTGTGGTACTCATGAGGTTCTATTCCTCATCTTAAAGACAACCAGGCTCACACTTCAAACCAATATTTGAGCTAGACCTAGGATTCAGGACTCTGAATTTTATCAGACAGACATTCCTAAAATGCAACTAAATTCTCCCCGGGTAAAAAAGAAAGAACAATTTTGAGACTAGCATGGATTTGTGGTCAAATAATATGTGCTCACCAACTGTATTACCCAGGCACTAGTCATGCATGATAAGAAACTTAGAATACGAGAAAGACACATTTTCCTGGGCACATAAATGAGGAGGAGATGACCTTGATCTTATGTCTAGAGATGGATTGGATGTGTTTTACTTGTAATGTAGGAGAGGGAGAAGACATAATGATGTGTTTGTGGGAATTACGGGGAAAGTGGGTGTTGAGCAATGTTATGCTTCGGTGCTCCTTTTTCAGAGATGTACAGAGATTCCATGGCTTGTCTTCGAGGTAAAGGCAAGAACTGAAATGACGGCCAGGCGCGGTGGCTCACGCCTGTAATCCCAGCACTTTGGGAGGCCGAGGTGGGAGGATCACGAGGTCAGGAGATCGAGACCATCCTGGCTAACACGGTGAAACCCCGTTTCTACTAAAAATACAAACAATTAGCTGGTCGTGGTGGCAAGCGCCTGTAGTCCCAGCTACTCGGGAGGCTGAGGTAGGAGAATGGCGTGAACCCGGGAGGCAGAGCTGGCAGTGAGCTGAGATTGCGCCACTGCACTCCAACCTGGGTGACAGAGCGAGACTCCATCAAAAAAAAAAAAAAAAAAAGAACTGAAATACTTGCAAGGTATCAGAACATCACAGACGCTGAGCAATGGTTTATTGCAAGAAGTATCAAGGAGATGTGGCATCAAGAACTGGTGTGCTCACCTTCCAGCAGTGGCTCTGGAATGGCCTTCTACAGGTGACCAATGCCTACCATGACTAATGCCTCCTTGTTCTGTGGAGGAGGCTGCAGGGAGCAAAGTCATGATGTCTGTGAAGGCAACTGTAGCTAGTCTCTCTGAATGCCCACATGTTATTGCCACTTACAGCCCAGAGGCACAAAATGAATTAAGGGGAACTGGTTTCTGAGAAAGATAAGCTACGACACAGACAAGTGGGGAAGTTGTTCAGAGGTTCATAGGGGCAGCATTTACCACTTTTTTTGTTTTGTTTAGTAACTTAACCAAGATTAGAATAATTAATAAAAGAAAAATATACCAATACTTTTCAACTTCACAATCACCAAAGAGCCTCTGTTAAACTCCTGGTTGCAAGTGATCTACTTAGAAGGACTGATAAAGGCCAGCTTCTCAAGTAGAGATTGCAATGTCCCACCCACAGTCTCGTGCCATCAGAGCACCGCAGACCTCCACCGAGACAATGTGGAAGTGAGTACAAGAATGCCAGGGTTGGCCGGGCACGGTGGCTCATGCCTGTAATCCCAGCACTTTGGGAGGCTGAGGCGGGCAGATCACAAGGTAGGAGATCGAGACCATCCTGGCTAACATGGTGAAACCCTGACTCTACTAAAAATACAAAAAAAAAAAATTAGCTGGACGTGGTGGCAGGCGCCTGTAGTCCCAGCTACTCGGGAGGTTGAGGCCAGGGAATGGTGTTAACCCGGGAGGCGGAGCTTGCAGTGAGCCGAGATCCTGCTACTGCACTCCAGCCTGGGCGACAAAGCAAGACTCCGTTTCAAAAAAAAAAAAAGAGTGCCAGGGTTAGATTATTTATAGAATCTTAATCTCAATGCCATGGAGATAGAAGTATGAACAATACTTCCCATTTTGGAGAGAGTGGGGTTTTGTGAAAGGCAGTACCTGGTAACCAAGATGTCTCTATGAAGTCAGCAGGTCCGCTTAATATTTGAATAACATTTCTTCCATCTTCTGTCCCAATTGCTGGGCGAAGTTCAGTGCTCAGTCCTCAACCTGTTGGTGAGTTTCCAAAGACCACGTTCCCATGATTTCTTCTCTCTCGCATCTCCTTTTCCTGCCGAATTTTTCCTCCCCCAAGCTGGTCTTTCATTCAAATGTCTTCTCTTCTTTCTGTCCTCTGACATCCTAACCATGGACTATAACAACACCCTTTCCCTGCATTCTCCAAAATACCAATGCACAAGTCAATTATGTGCAGAGACCTTTACTGAGGATTTGAGAGTCTCAGAGGACAGGCACAACACAGCTGAACTTTCGAATAGATGATCTTAACTAATTGATAGTGCAGTGTGTTGGACATTCCTGCTCTTAACAATCCCCTAGTCAAATTGGCCAAGAATTTCATGCTAGCTATCTCATTTCAGACTCCAGCCTCCTCTCACAGCCTTGAACCTTCTCAAATGCTTCATTTTAAGCAATGACTGAACACAAGTGAATTACATTACCAACTTAAAACCTAGAAACAGAACAAAAGAGTAATTCACACACAAACTAAAGGAAACGGGATACAGAAAACAGAGTCAAAAATTAACATGAAAACAGAAAGAAATAGACCTAATTAATAAATCAATAAACCACTGGTCACTAATAAAGAAAAATGGTAGAAGCACAAATATAATAAATAATAGTAACAAGCATCCAGGAGTAAATAATTATTGACAAAGGAAAAATTGTTTAATTGGCTATTTGCACACATCTATAAACATAAACAGTGAAACCATGTGAAATGGGTAACTTCCTAGGGAAAAGCAGGTTCCCAAAATTGATGCCAGTAGAAACAGAAAGTTTAAACAGACCAATTCTAACAACAGAAATGGAGAAAATTATCAAGATTCTACCATTCCACACACACAAAAACGGTACCAGGTTCCAATAGTTTCTTTTGTTTTTCTTCCTTTTGAGAAGGGTTCTCGCTCTGTCACCCAGGCTAGAGTGCAGTGGTGCGATCTTGGCTCACTGCAACCTCTACCTCCCGGGTTCAAGCGATTCTCTGGCTTCAGCCTCCTGACTACCTGGGATTGCAGGCACCTGTCACCATACCCAGCTCTTTTTGTACAGCAGAGATTGGGTTTCACCATGTTGACCAGGTTAGTCTCGAACTCTTGACCTCAGGCAATCTGCCTGCCTCGGCCTCCCAAAGTGCTGGGATTACAGGCATGAGCCACCACACCCAGCCCTGAATAGTTTCACAGGTGAATTCCAACAAACATTCAAAGATGAAATAATTCAAATGATACATAAATTGCTGCAGCCAATGAACATAAATAAAATATTCAAATTAGCTTTATAAAGTATAAAATGGATATAACCTGATAAACACAGCACAGTGAAATTAGATTACAGACTAATACCACTTACAAATATTGATGCAAAAGTTCTAAATACTATGTCAGTGAACAGAGTCCCAAAACAACACTTGTTTCAAAATCTAAACTGAAAGATACTTATTTCATTTAAGAACACATTAAGTAAAAGAATATTCTTTATTCTTTTTAAAACATATTAGTGTATATATTTCTAGGTAATTTTCACAATGATATATCTGAAGATGGTATTATTTAAAGACAGATTTCCATATAACAAATCTAATGCATTTCCTCTCCATTGCCTGTGGGTGTTTAGCACAGTGTTTAATCCAGTGCTCTCTGGGCTGCTCATTCCATTCCTACCTTGCACTAGCTCTGTGACCTTAGAAATGTTTCTTAACCTCTGGATGACCAGTGTTCTCATGTGCCGATGTGGGGATAACAGTAGGACATATGTCCCAGGGTTGTCATAAAGAGCCGATGAATTAAGGCAACATACACAGCATGGAATACTCTGCGGTGATAAGAATGTGCAAGATCATGTTCTCTGCAGGGACACAGATGGAGCCGGGGGTCATTGTCCTTCAGCAAAACTAACACAGGAACAGAAATCCAAATGCTGCATGTTCTCACTTATGAGTGGGCGCTAAATAATAAGAACACATGGACACATCGAGGGGAACAGCACACACTGGGGCTGGAGAATGGAAGAAGGGAGAGGATTAGGAAAAATAAGTAATGGGTACTAGGCTTAGTACCACAAAATAAACTACAACAAACTCTCATGACAAGTTTACCTATATAACAAACCCACACATGTACCCCTGAACTTCAAATAAAAGTTCAAAATATAAATAAAGAAAAAAGAACACAGAAGAGAGCTTGCCAGGCAGTAAGAGCTCAGTAAGTGTGAGCTGTTATTCTACCAGTCATCACTTTGTTTAGTCCCAACCTTCAAGCCTGGGCTGGGGCTACAATGCTCCCCTCTCCAGCTCCCCTTCTCCTGCCTTTTAAAAAAAACTGTCATCAAGTCTATCGAGGTACAAAATCCCTCATGTGGCGTCTGTTCCATGTCTCCGGAGCACCTTGGCGGGAAACACCTGAAAGCCCCTGGCTGCCGGCGCTGCCACTGAAGCGACTGTTGCTTTTGTGGCTGTGACTGCCTGCTCGCAGATGATCACTCCAAGTTTTATTTCTTATAGGTTCTTCTCACTTTCCTTCCACATGGAGAGAAAGAAAAGAAATATCTATGCAGGACACACACTGATCATTGAAACTTCATCATTAAAGAAGAAAGAATAATTGTCCTTGAAAAGAGTTTATTTGATATTTAATTGCAGTGACCCATTTTCCCAGCAAGGGCTGAAGAATTTACATGTCTCTGGCTCAATAATCCCCATTTTAAAAAAAAAACCAAGCTTTATTTAAACAGGCCATTTTAAACAGCAATATTTGACAAGGTATCCTAATGTAAATTTAAGTTTGTTTGGAGACTTAGCTCTAGGAATACAAATACCTTATTTTTAAAACCAAATGAGGCAGGAGGAGTCCCACCTCGCATTTTTCCATCGTTTTTAAGCTGGCTCTCTGGCCCGCCCTTCCCCAGGCGTTGGAAGCAGCCCGACTTCCCTTCACATCCCCTGTATCTTTGAAATCCTCTAGCCCTGGAGTAAATCAGAGCATTTCCCATCATGCTCCCTGATGTGCTGTTTTAAAGCCTGAGAGGAAGAAGTGGTCCTTCCCCCAGCATCTCTCTATCCCAGGAAGAATATTACTGAGATATGTGTTTATTTGCTACCGAGCTAAGATAGAAAACACTGACACCCGCGCGGCACCTGCTTATCCATCTGCGACTCCTGCGGCATTTCTCTTTCCTGCTGGCCTCTCGGTAGCCAGGAGTCCTGGGCACAGCATCTGCTTGGTTCCTTGTTGCTGCTCTCTCAACTCAGTGCTCCCAAACTGAAGGACCTGCTTCTCCCCGAGACACCCATCCACAGAGCTCACAGCCTCACCAAAGGAAAATCAACAACAAACTTTCACTCTGTCTTAGTCTGTTCTGTGCTGCTATAACAGAATACCTGAAACTGGGTAATTTATAATGAACAGAAATGTATTTTGCACAGCTCTGGAGACTGGGAAGTTTAACATCAAGGTGCTGGCATCTGGTGAGGGTCTTCCTTGTGGATCCTCCTGTTGTGGAAGGTGAGAGGGTGAGAGAAAGAACCGAGTCCTGAAAGCCCTTTGTAAAAGCACTAAACCTACCCATGAGGGCAGAAGCTTTATGGCCTAATCACCTCTTCAAGGCCCCGCCTCTTAGTACTGTTATGGTTGGACTGACTTACACATGTCAACATGAGTTTTGGAGGGACGAGCATTCAAGCGCTGGTGCACCCCTGTCAGCTGACACTGCTACTAAGAGGAAACGATGCCTCACAGATGGGCTCTTACCTTTTGTATTAGTCAGGGTTCTCCAGAGGAAAAAACAAAGGATCTAGACATGAATACAGAAATAGAGCCGGGCGCAGTGGCTCACGCCTGTTATCCCAGCACTTTGGGAGGCCGAGGTGGGCGGATCATGAGGTCAGGAGATCGAGAGCATCCTGTCTAACACGGTGAAACCCCGTCTCTACTAAAAATACAAAAAAAATTAGCTGGTCGGTGGCGGGCTCCTGTAATCCCAGCTACTCGGGAGGCTGAGGCAGGAGAAAGGCGTGAACGTGGGACATGGAGCTTGCAGTGAGCCGAGATCGTGCCACCTCACTCCAGCCCGGGTGACAGAATGAGACTCTGTCTCAAAAAAGAAAAGAAAAGAAAAGAAATAGAAATAGGTCGTTGCCAGACACATGAGAAGAGCCTGATCAGGGGATGGGCTCGCATGATTATGGAGGCTGAGAAGCCCCAGCAGAGGCCGTCTGCACGCGGGGGACCCGGGGAAGCTGGTGTGGAATGGCTCCAAGCAAATTGGAAGGCATCAAGACCAGTAAGGCTGATAGTGGGACTCTCAGTCTGAGGCTAAAGGTCTGAGAAACTGGGGGCTGTGGTGCGAGCCCTGGAGTCCAAAGAACAGAGAACCTTGAGTTCCGATACCCAAGGGCAGGAGAAGGACATCCCAGCTCCAAGAGAAAGGGGACAAAAGAGAATTCACCCTCCTCTGCCTTTTTGCTCTTCTCGAGACCTCAGCGATTGGACAGTGCCCACCCATGCTGGGTGAGGGTGGATCTGGCTCAGTCCACTGACTCCAGTGTGCCTCTGCCAGAAATGCCCTCCCAGACACACCCAGAGATAATGTTTTACCGTCCAAGTATTCCTTCATACAGTCAAGCTAACACCTACAGTTAACCATACACCTTTGTTAAGAGTATCCACCTCATGAGGAGCTTTAACACGCTTTGTTTCATTTGCCCCTCAGAAAAACACAGCAGGGAGGTGGGGAAGGGGCCACAATTCCCACTTAATAGATGAGCAAAGTGATGCTAAGGAGAGAGAACAGGGCAGGCCTGAGGCTCATGGCCAATTAAGGGCAGAATTGGAAAGAAGGCAGGTCTTTCATTTAAAAATAAAATTTAAATGATCCCATCCTCATCCTCAGCATCCAAAGGTCTTTTGGGCTGGCTTCCTGATTTTGCACAACTAGTAGGAGTGATTCACTCAAACAAAGTCTGTGTCTGTCCACAGTGGGAATTGGGAGCTGCCCCTCCTGGGGAGAGGAACCCTGTCCTGAGCTGCTGGGCCCGTTCTTCCAGCGCCCCCGGGGCAGCCCGGCACGACACCAGCAGATCTGCCAGGGAATGCTGATGCCACCACTCCAGGCAAATATTTAGCAACTCCCCCTCTGACTCTCAATATTGCCCCATTTGAGAATATATTAAAATGGACACCTGCCCTTCACTGGCATCATGTGAACGTTTAAGAAACTTTAAATTTGGAATTTAGACTTAAATTTTAAACAGTAACTGCGATCTCAGAGCTAAAGCTTCCTTTGTGTTTGTATAATTAGAAATAGTAATAGCATTTATCTTCCTGCCTCAAACACAGGCTAGCTTCTGGCCCACTTTTTGAAGGACTCTGTACTTGGGGCCCAGACTTGCCTACATACTACAGGACACACAGTCCAGAACCGAGTTCCACAGCTCTCTCTGCCTCTAGAGTTTTTGGTGCTGACTTCCTGGTGTCCTGTCCTGCTGCCGGTGTGTTTCTACAGAACTGGCCTCCATGTCCTGCCTTTAGGAACCACTCAGACCATCATGTGTCCACCCTGTGGGTCCAACTTTGGCAGTTGTTCCATCACCCTGAGTCCCAGGCTCCTGGGCTGTGAAATGTGAGTGATGATGTCAATAGCAGCGGGGTCACTGCAGAGGTAAAATGGCACGTCTGTGACAGCGCTTTGCAGAACACAAGAGCCGTGTCAGTTCTCATTTGTCTTCGGGGTCTCTAAGACAGACCTTCATTCCACCGGATTTTTATTCTGGCCTGTTATAGGTCAGCCTCATCACCCACACTCCAGTGTGACAACAGCATCTGATCAGTTAAGGAGCGCTTTGATTATTTTTCCTGCTGGTAGAGAGTTTTTACTGATCATTCATTCTACTGCATTTGATGCATAAATAGCAGGTGTCAGACACTGATTGCTGTCATTCATTTCATTCATTCTTTCTCAGACACTCAATGGCTTGGCACCCTCAATGTAGATTTCCAAGTGAACTAGCAAATATGAAGTACATGGTCTATGGCTGGGGCATGGTACTAATTTTAGGGCCTCACAGAAAACTTATGACCTTGCCCTTGTGATAGTGACACAAACCTCAGGCCCCTTCTGGTAGTAAACCTCCATATGCAGCCCCTTGTCCCAAAAATGAGGTCTCTGGATTCCCTTTCCTAGTCACCAGGACCAATCGCGACTGCAGCACAATGTCTGGTCTTCCACCCTCCAGACCTATTCCCAGAGTTCAGCATTAGGGACACACCACACGCCCCTGTGCTTTTGCTTTGTTTCTGAGCCTAATTCTCACAGCTGCATTTCTTCCCTAGACCTTATGTAGGAGGCATCCTAATGCCCCATTGGTCTCCTGGGCCTGGGCCAGCCTTGTTGTCACCAGCTCCTCCTGCACACACACCAAATGCCTGTACTTCCACATCTCACCGTGCTGTGAGCTGCATCCACCTTTCTAGTACACCCGGAGCTCCACTTGGCCTGACTTCCAGCAGGCCCCCCTTGCCTCAACCCGTGGACTCTGCTCTTGCTGAGACAGGGAGCACCCTCCGTCTGCATCAGCAGCTGCCCTCCTGTCACCTGAGTGGGAGAATAGGGTTAGCATATCTCACTGCCCTGCCCCCTGCCCCCAAGTCCTGCTCTAACAGTTAATCTTATTTATGTATTTATTTATTTTGATGGAGTCTCACTCTGTCGCCCAGGCTGGAGTGCAGTGGTGTGATCTCCGCTCACTGCAACCTCTGCCTCAGCCTCCCAAGTAGCTGGGATTACAGGCACGAGCCACCATGCCCAGCTAAGTTTTGTATTTTTAGTAGAGACAGGGTTTCACCATGTTTACCAGGCTGGTCTCAAACTCCTCACCTCGTGATCCTCCTGCCTTGGCCTCTCAAAGTACTGAGATTACAGGCATGAGCCACTGCACCCAGCCTCTATCAGTTAATCTTAATGAATCCCAAGATATGATCTAATCAAACGGGGTAATCAGATACGGCACACCTGCCCAGTGAGGTATTGGCCAGTTACCTGGAGTTTCAATGCAGGGCCCCTGGGATGCTGGTCCTGCACTGACTTGTGACACATACTTATTTTTCCTTCTGTGAAGAATTGAGGTGGAGAGGCTGCCTGGGGACATGACGCTGGTCTGGATCTGCCTATACTGGCTTCAACACCTGGTACTTTCTCCTCGTTCTACAACTTCAAAGTCATACATTTAATCTCGAGGGAGCTGTCAGTTCCTTGATTATCCCCACAGAAAAAGCATCCATTAAGAAAGAATAAAGGAGCATGGGCTTGCATGAGAGACAGAAGACAATATAGGAATCAACTGCAGGAAAACACTAATGACAACTCTGGTAACAGGTCAGCACAATTAGCCTCCTCTTCATAAACACTGCATATTACTCAAAAAGGGGAGAAATTGTGTGTGAGTTCATCACTACCTGAAAAACAACTTCACACTAGAATAAAAACGACGAGATAAGAATGATAAACGCATTATACCATGCAGTTCTTAGCCTGAGTCCCTGTATTAAATAGACAGAGAGAGAGAGAGAGGTGGCGGCAGTGGTGGGCAGGGGGAAGAAGGATAAAAACGGTGAATTCTGTCAATGAATGCAGCTTGTCCTATTAGGCAAAATAAGAAAAGGAGGTCTGGTAGTGGACAGCCAGTTCTAATGAATGATATCCCAGAATGGCGAATGCCGACTGCAAAGCTTTTGCCCAGCTTGCAGCCTTCCAACCAGTTTGCTGACACTCCCTGAACTGAGGAAAGAGGAAAGCTGCAGGAGAACATGAGGAAGAGGAAACGTGTAATTGCTACTAGGGGGTGACTGTGAACTATATAATGAAAATATAAAAACACAGTTATTTTTCAATGAAAGCACCTCATTTTCTCCATGAACTGGTTAGCATTTTGTCTTAACATTCTGTGCAGCATCTTGAAAAGACGTTTGTCTTTCAGGGTCAAAGAAAGAGGCAGAGATGTGCTTGTTTCTCGAAAATAAACCTGGGTTCCTTCCCATCTCTCTCTGCTGAATGGTTGCACTTTTTGCGTTCATGCTAAATTACTCAGAAGACAAAAATAAGACACTTTTATCCCAAGGTGATTGGATTTTTATCCCTTCAGACCCATGGTGGGAGAAAAGGGATCTTCTCCACCACTGAAAATTAATGTTAGCTTCAAAGAACCTTAGATATTCTAGTCATTACATGTAACTGGTAGCAGTGGATTGTGGTCAAATGGTGTTCTTGGCGGCGGAGGACTTTACAATGAGCCAGGATGGCTTCCCTGTGCCAGAGCCTTGCAGAAATGGTCACACAGAGTGGAAGCATTACCGATAGGATGCTTCCTTGAATACAGAGTGTTCCTTGGAGGTGTCCAGAGTGGAAGCATTACCGATAGGATGCTTCCTTGAATACAGAGTGTTCCTTGGAGGTGTCCAGATCTCCTTGACACACATCTAAGTCTGTGGTCCCCTGATGTTCATGACCTATTGCTCTCATCTATTTGTTTCCAGGGATGTGCCAGAGACATGCCATAAGGAACGGTTATGTGTTTGGCCACAGTCAAGGGTCTATGTGAACGCACATTGCCAAAATATTTTGGATGATTTTGAGAACTACGCCCAATGCTACTCTAATATACAACAAAATCATTTCTAAAGAGGAAAAATGACATTTACTAATCCAAACAAAGTAAATTTTATTGACAAATAATATTAAAGTGGTTTTGCTTGAGCTAGATTCTCAATTCCAAGCTTTGCAGGATCAGAGACCTCACTGGTTTTATGCACCACTGTATACCCAGCACCAGCTCTGAGCCTGGCCCCTGGCAGACCCTCTATAAATGCTGATAATTACCTCCATCTGACATGAAAATGACGACGACTGAATATAACTGTTTTATTACCGTAATTATGAGCCTTCCCTTTCATTCACGCTGACCCTAGCAAAGCACAACAGGACCTGCTGAGCCTTCTGCTGAAGGACATGGCCAGCCAGTGCAAGGGCCAGCTGAGGTCCATGTCATTTTGAGTTCCATGGGCTTGGCTGGGGATACATGTTCTCATCAGAATTGAGGAAAGACCAGTTTCTCCTCAGGAGAGGGGTCCAGATGAGCAAACATGGGCCCAAGTGGAGAGGGGGCATGTGGAGGGACAGCAAGGGGCTCATCTGCTAGTGCCTGCAAGAAATTTGGTTACCGGATGCAGCCCCAACAATACAGAGAACGGGAAACTCAAGGGCATGGCAAGGGTTGCATTTTTATTTTAAAACCAGTTTCCTTATACTAGAGAAACCTCATTTGCTTTAGATACATATCACATGGCAGTAGTTATACAGTGGGAAGAACCTTCTAAGTGTGCACTAGCATGTCTAACCAATGAATCCTTAAGGAGTGATTGGAAAGCCCTGGCTGTGGCTCTAACAGAGTAACTGGCACCAGACTTGACCCGATGTATGCACGTTGAGAGAGCTGAGCCAGATACATGGGGTAACAGTTCCTCCCAAATCAGACAACACACAGCACAGGATTGCAACACCTGAGCGATGCCTTCCCCTCTGGAGTCCCTTTCCCGTTCTGGTTTCCAAGGAAAGGGAAACCAAACACGGCACAGTCGTCTCACTGAAGTGAGGAGACAGAGATTAGAATCCAGAAATATGGAGGCTGCTGGAGCTTGCAGGGCTGTGCCATGTGGGGCAACATCAAGAAAGCTGATAAAACCCAAGCAATATATATCTAACGGAAAACACGTGGTGTATTTTAATTAAGTTGCTACAAAACTGTGATAGAAAGAAAACACTAGAAGTCAGAAGGAAGAAATAGACTTACTCTATAAAGGATAAACATTGGAATGTTTGCAGGTTACCAACAAAAAAAATGCAAGCCTGAAGATGATGCAAAAGCATATTTAAAGCACCAGAAGAAAAAAGTCAACCTAAAATTCTCTATCCAGCAAAAATAGCCTTCAAAATTGAACATAAAATAGAAACATTTTAAGACAAAATATTCTGAACAAATGTTGCTGCATACCTGTTGAAGTTCTTCGGACTAAATGATATTATACCAAATGTTAACTGTATTTATAGAAAGGAAAATATATGTTGGAAATGTTTTTAAAAGAAGGTATATATTAAAGGCTTATTTTTAATTTTTATTAAAAAAAAAACTCAGCTAATAGGCCAGGTGCGATGGCTCAATGCCTGTAATCCCAGCACTTTGGGAGGCTGAGGGAGGCAGATCACAAGGTCAGAAGTTCAAGGCCAGCCTGGCCAACACGGTGAAACCCCGTCTCTATTAAAAATACAAAAATTAGCTGGGCATGATGGCACATGCCTGTAATCCCAGCTACTTAGAAGGCTGAAGCAGGAAAACTGGTTGAACCCAGGGGGCAGAGGTTACAGTGAGCCGAGATCACACCACTGCACTCCAGCCTGGGTGACAGAGCAAGACTCTGTCTCAGGAAAAAAAAAATAGATAATAAACTGTTTAAATGAAAAATAATAGCCATGCATTTGGGATTTATAACATGCACAAAAATCATGAGAAATAGTGCAAAGGACATGAGGTGTAAATGAAACAATTTCCTAAGTTTCCAGCATTTTACAGGAAGTGGTTTACTTAGACTGCTAAGTTTTGCTAACTTGTGTGTGTGTTTGTGTGCGTGTGTGTGTGTGTGTGTATAAAGAAAACCACTAAATATAAAGAGTGTAGCGAATAAGACTATTTAGGAGCAAACAATGATACCAAAAAGTACTCCAGAAGCATGCAGAGGCTTTCCTATTTCTGCCTGGAGAGTTGGAAAGAGTGTTGTTCCCAAACTTGCAATAAATAATTCAGATAAACAGCAAGTTCACAACTTTTCTTGACCCCCTTGGAATGCTGAGGTGACAGGACAGCCACATTGCCTGGGATTTAGAGACGAGATTTGCAGCTGAGTACTGACTGAACTCAGGCTGGAGGCAGTGGGGCACCAGGGAGAAGCGTTCGTCGTGAGCAGCTGGTCTTCCGCTGCAGCCTGTTTATGCACTGCTGAGAGAGGGCAAAGCCACTGTGGGTGGAGATGTGGGGAAAGGCCACACTTTTCTTGTAGGTATTATCTCCATGAAACCCACTGGATGCTCACAGAAAAGATGGAGAGAGTCTAGTCTCTCATAAGCGGCACAACTGGAGGAACAGAAAAGCTCCACCTGCAGAAAGAGCTGGAAGCCCCCCAAACACATCTGCACGTCCTTCCATGTCCTTCCAAGGACTCATCCAAGTCTCTTCAATTGCCGAGCTTATCAGTATGAAGTTGTTAATAATCAATAAGACACTAGAATTAATAAGTCCCAGGAGACTCCTTCTCCTCCCTCCAGGGAGATGGATCCCTGCCTGGGACCCACTTGGCGTACAGTGGCCTAAGTCACATATGGCACCTTAGCCAGAACAAGTCCCAAGGTGCCGTTGGACTCTGTCCTCCTGTGCCATCACCTGTGGCAGGAAAGAGTCATCCCATTCACATATGCACCCAGTCCTCAAGTGCCTGTCTAATTGGGGACCTGTGGCAGGAAAGACTCATCCCATTCACATATGCACCCAGTCCTCAAGTGCCTGTCTAATTGGGGAAAGGGAATCAAAGGCGTGGAGACTAAAAAGGTAGAAAATTTACATTTGGCTTTGAAAAGAGCACGTGAAATTCCTCCCAGATTTGCTTTTCTCACTTTAGTATTAAAAATAAAAGCTGGATGATTGGGTGCTTATCAGTGCACGGGTGTAAGTAAGTTACCCATTGTCACGAAAATACCCAAAAGGATTAGACGCAGCAGTGTCCAGCAGATTCACACAGAAATAAGGACAGTGTGTGCCTCCACCAGCCAGACTGGAAAACCTCACAGGACATGAGACATCAGCTACAGTACATAGAAGGGTCTTTTCTCTGTAGTGAAAAATAACTACCCCTACACCAAATAGAGCTCCAGTTCAACCTATGACTCAAAATGACCAAATCAATTTCCAGTAACATGACGGAATTACAGAACAGAGCCAGATAATACGTACAGCAATATATATGTATACACACACACATATACACATACACTCACAGAGACACAGACACACACACAAACACACACCACCTAACAAGGTAAAATTAACAATGTTTGGCATCCAATAAAAATGTATCTGGCACACAAAGAAAAAAGAATATATGGCTCATTATAAGAAAAATGATCAGTTCATCAGGAGCACATAACCATCCTAAATGGTTTTATACCTGCCTAGTAACAGAGTTTTGAAATCGCTGAAGCAAAAACTCTTAGAATGACTAGGAGAAAAAAATCACAAGCTTAATCACATTTGAAAAATATCATTCTGTCTATAATTAATAGAACAAATAGAAAATTGTTGAGGATATAGAAGATTTGAAAAATACTATCAAGTAACTTGATCTAATTGACATTTAATGAATATTAACACCTAAAATATCACAGTAAGCATTCTTTTCAACTGAACCCAGAATATTTTCTAACACAGACCATATAATAGGCCAGAAAAAGTCTCAAATACATTTAAAAGAATCGGAGGAATTGTCTTCATCCATTTGTGTTGCTGTAAAGGAAAACCTGAGGCTGGGTAATTAATAAAGAAAAAGTTACAGTCACAGTTCTGCAGGCTGTGCAAAAAGCTCAGTGCCAGCATTTGCTTCTGGTGAGGCCCTCGGGAAGCTTCCAGTCATAGTGGAAAGTGAAAAGTTGAAGGGAAGCCTGTGTGTGCAGAGACCACATGGCCAGAGAGAATCCAAGAGACAGAGGAGGGAGGTGCCTGGTTCTTTTAAACAAACAGCCCTTGCAGGAACTGATAGAGCAAGAACTCACTCTTCACCATGAGGAGGGCACCAAGCTGTGCATGAGGGCTTTGTCTCCAGGACACAGTCATCTCCTCCAGGCCCCACCTCCAACACTGAGGGACACATTTCAACATGAGATTTGGAGGAAACAAACATCCAAACCATATCAGGCACATACAAAATATGTTCCCCGACCACAATACAATTACATTAGAAATCAATAATAAAAGCATCTCTTAAAAATTTCCAATTGTTTGAAAACTACATAATATACTTATTATTTAAATAGCCACTCATGCCAATAAAGAAATAAAAATTGAAATTATAAAATAATTTGAACTGGATGTAAAGGAAAACCCAACATTAAATCCAAAGTGATTTGAAGACAGGAAATGATGCAGACGAAAGAAGGGAAAAATGAGGTAGAAAACATTTTAATAGAAGAGAAAATCAAGAGCTTTGATGAGATTAAAAATTGATAAAAATTCATCGGACTGATGGGAGTCATAAATTACCAAGACCAGAAAGGGTAGAAGGTGCATCACTGCAGATCAGAGGCTGAGAGGGTAATAACGGAATATCCCGAGCAGCTTTATGTCAGTGCATTTGAGAGCTTGGATAAGATGGAAAAATTACTTGAAGATACAAACTATCAAAGACAATGCAAGAACAGTCATATAAAACTTGAACAAACCTCTCTCTATATTAGAAAGTGAATTTTTACTGTAAAACCTTCCCATAAAGAAAACTGAAGGCCCAGATAGTTCCACTGGTGAATTCTACAAAGTACATACAGAAGAAATTATGCCAATCTGTCACAAACCTGCAAAAAAATTAAAAGGATACATTATTTCCCAATAGATTTTTTGAAGCAAGAATTACCTTCATCCCAAAACTACACTAAGACATTACAAGAAAATAAAACTGTAAGTCATCATCCCACATGAACACAGGTGCAAAATTTCTAAGCAAAATTATAGAAATGAACCCAACAATACATTTTTAAAAAATGCATCATAACCTAGTGGAGCTTATTTCAGGAACGCAAAGTTGGTTCAATGTTATATTGTATAATGAATCATTCCACTGGCCTTTTCCCCTGGTTCCTGGGAGACTTTAGATCCCTGTAATTTCCCAAGTAATAGGAGTGTCCTTGTTATTCAGGAGCCCCTTGGACCACATATGAGTTTATGCTAAGGATGAACTGACTCAGGATGGGGCTTTACCAGAAAGACCAGCCGTGTAATTAGAGGGTTGGGGCTTGAAGACAGCCTGACCTCCAGGGAGTGAAGGGGCTACAGATGAAGTTTACTCACCTGACCCACGACTCAATCATGCCTACCTAATAAAGCCCCATAAAAACTCTGGACACCAAGGCTTAGTGGAGCTTCCAGTTGATGTGCCTGGATAGTGACGTGCTTGATCCCACAGGGAGAAAACACGAAAGCTGTATGCTTGAGATCCTCTCAGATTTTGTCCTGTGTCTCTTGATTTGGCTGATCTTGATTTGTGTCCTTTAGAATCAAATTGTAATGATAATGTTTATATGGTTTGTGTGAGTCATTTATTGAACTATTGAATTTGAGGAAGATTGGGAAGTACTCTATACTTGTAGCCAATTAGTCAGAAGTGCAGGTGGCCTGGGGACCCCAAATGTGGCTGGTTTCTGGAGTGTGGAGAGTTTTCTGGGAATTTACCACTTAAAGTGGTGGTGTTTAGTGTCAGAAAACATTCAAAAATCAATCATTCATTGTAATTCAGTAATTAAAATAGAGAAACCATGTGATTATCTCAATTGATGCAGACAAAATCCAACATCTATTCCTAGTAAAATCTCTCAGCTATCAACCTGATAATGGGAATCTATTAAAAACCTATAATTAATATCATACTTAATGCTGAAATATTCTATATTTTCCCCTAAAATTAGTAACAGGAGAGACTGTATGGTTCTTATCTCTAAAATTATTATTGTTTTGGGAGTTCTAAACAGCTAAATTAGAAAAAAAAAGAAGAAGAAGACAATCAGATTGAGTAGAAATAAATAAATGAGTAAACTGCCTATTTTCACAGATTACAAGCTTATTTAAATTTAAAAAAAATAAAAACTACAAAACACACACACATAATAATGAATGCAAGTTTGCAGGATACACATTCATTATACAAAAGTCAAATGTACCTAGCACCCAGATCTTGGTTTCTAATGTCATTCTCCACAAAAGAAATCAGGGCTTACTGCAGAAATGGTTGACTCTAAGACTGGGGCAAGAAATAGAAAAGGTAAGCCTGAAACATCTTATAGTCCCAGAAATTTAAAACGCGCTGAAAAAAAAAAAGGAAAAACCAACCCATTTTTAAAACCATGTGGATAATGGTAAGAAACAGAGGAGCCAGCTGAATGTATGTCCAATGGCCAAAAGTAGAACACAGTTAAGCCACAAAATAAACAATTATTGGATTATAGCCCAAAGTATAAAGTACATATCCATGAGTCCGTACTGATATAAAGAAATGATTGAATAAGTGAGTAACTTGGGAAGATGAGACCACTGTCCCATGCAGAAGAATTTCAAATCCCTGTAGATTCCCTGCCCTCAAGAAGGGGTAGCATGACCCCTCTCCTGAAGCATGGGCTGTGCATAGTGACTTCCTTCCAAAGAGTGCAATATGAGGGGCAGGGAAAGGAGCAGCTTTACAGTGGAGAAACCTGGTGACCACTGCCTCAGCCCCACAACCAAGGTTGGGAACACTGGCATTGAGTCCATACCTTCATACAGTGGGATGAGAATGGCACGTTTCACCACGACCAAGGTTGGGAACACTGGCATTGAGTCCATACCTTCATATAGCAGGATGAGAATGGCACGTTTCACCATGACCAAGGTTGGGAACACTGGCATTGAGTCCATACCTTCATACAGTGGGATGAGAATGGCACGTTTCACCTCTGTGATCCCCCTTCCTCCCAAAAATATATAACCCCTGTCTAGCCATAAGGAAAACATCAGACAAATCCCAGGTGAGGGACACTCTATAGAACACCTGAGTAGCCCTCAAAACTGTCAAGATTGTCCAAGACAATGGAAGCCTGAGCCACTCATAGCCAAGTGAGGCCAGGAAGACATGACGACTGAAAGTAACCTAGGATTCCGCATGGGATCTTGAAACGGGGGAGGGCGTTAGGGGAAAATGAAAGAAACTGGAATGGAGTGTGGATTTTAGTTACTGCATCAGCATAGGCCCATCAGTTGTGACAACTGTCCATGCTAATGTAAGATATTTACAATAGGAGAACCTGGGTGCGGGGGTAGGGGACTCTATATTACCCTCTCAATTTTTTGGTAAATCTAAAACTGTTCTAAAAAATAAAGCCTATCTGAAAGCATGTATTCATGTCAAAAAATAAACTTTATTCTGTAATACTTACAAACGATATTTGGAACTTGAAATGCTTAGAATACACTTTAGAATAAGATAAAAAGTAGGAATATTTAGCATCAAGTAAGGCAAAGACATGCAACACCTATACACCGAAAACTATAAAGTAATGCTGAGTGAAAATAAAAAGCCTAAGTAACAGAGAAAATACACCATGTCCATAGGTCATAAGACCCAATAATCTTACCAAATATGCCCAAATTGATCTATATATTTGATGCAATTCCAAGTCCCAGAAATATTGTTTAAGAAATTCATTAAATAATTTGTTTTACATTTTTGTTTATTTTTTCAATTGACAAAATTTATAAATATTTGTGGTGTACAAGAAGATTGATAAATGTATATACATTGTGGAACAGCTAAATCAAACTACTGAATATATGCGTAATAACATCATTTTAAAATTTATCAGAAAGTACAACAGACAAAGTTAAAGGCCTAACATCTGATTCAAAACTTACTATAAAACTGCAATACTCAAACCAGTGTGATCTTGTCATAAATGCAGATAATAAATAGACCCATGGGAAGAAACTAGGGGGGCCAGAAATAGACCCAAGTATATATACACAATTAATTTTCCACAAAAGTACAAAGGCGTTTCAGCAGAAAAAAAAAAAGAGTATTTTTTAACAAACAGTGCTGAGACAATTCGTTATGTATTAAATGAGCTTTATCACACCATATACAAAACTTGATTCACAGTAGATCATAGAAATAAATGTAAAATCAAAAATTATAAAACTTTGAGAAGAAAACAGGAAAAAAATCTGTATGACCTTGGGCTAGCCTTGGCTCCTGGCGCTGGAGCAGAAGCACGGCCCTTTGAGGCAGGCTGGAAATCTCCAACAGCCACCAGAGGACTCAGCCAGGGCCAGCCCCTCGCTAGCAGGGAGCACAGCTGCAGAGGCCTTTTGATGTGTTTATGCTCCCGGCTTTTCCTTTCTGAGCAAAAATCATTTCTAAATCTTCCTCTAAGCAAGTCCGATATCAGCTCCTCTGGCGCCCCCTAACGCTCGGCTGTGGTAAAGCACCCGTTCCTCCTCTCCCAGGAAGACGGCGGGAGAGATCTCAGCGCAGATAAAGCACTCCCATGCTTTCAGATGTCAGCTGAGACCATGTGCATACCTCATGCTGTGCGTGCGTGTGTGTGTGTGTGTGTGTGTGTGTGTGTGTGTGTGTGTCACAGAGAGAGAGACCCACACACAGGCCTGGGAAGGGGAGGTGACCTCACCCCTCCCCTCTCAGTGTCTCGGGGTGTTCAGCAGCTCCAGACGAGGACAGGCCACATTTACTTGTGCTCTTCAGGGCTGGTCCTGCCTCTCCTGTCCCCACACCTACCCACCCTCTGAGCTTTTCCTCTTGGATTATTCCCTTTTGTTCATCTTCGATCTCAGGGCTGTGTTCCCATTCCTCCACACCTACAAACTGTGCCAGTCTCCAAGGGTGAATCTAGAATCTACTTATCTCAATATTGTACTCACCTTGTTTTTAACCTTGAAACTCTAGCTCCTATCAAAGCGACTCAGAATCTCCGTGCTGTAAGTCACACAGTTCAACCACAAATGGTCACAATTTGAAGGGACTTTCTCATTGTGGTCCAGCCCCCACTCCTGACCCTTTGTGGCAATCAGAAGGGACCAAGGATACCAGCACTGAGGGTTTGTAAGAGGCCACACCGCTTGATGGTGCAAAGGTGGAAAGGAACCCAGACCCCTGGCTCTTAACTGAGAGATGCGTTGGCTCCATCCTGCAGCCTCAGGGCCGCTGCTCTGCCATGCTCCCTGTGTGGGCTCTGCACAGCCCTTGCCTGATTTGCTGCTGTCGGTGACAGATAACAGGTGAAAAAGCGAGGACCACACTGCCCATTACTGAGGATCAGCCCTGACAGGGAGCGTAGGTGGG
Source organism: Homo sapiens (assembly GCF_000001405.40). Taxonomy (NCBI): domain Eukaryota; kingdom Metazoa; phylum Chordata; class Mammalia; order Primates; family Hominidae; genus Homo; species Homo sapiens. The sequence goes on along the minus strand of NT_187581.1, from coordinate 94,252 downwards.
AGAAGGAACCAGCACCTCCCTGCTGAGTTGCCAAAGCTTGGAAGGGCAGAAGCCACTTTGCACCGTTGCTTTCACCCAGATCTACCTGCATAGAGCTACACGCACAGCTCTTCAGAAAGCCACGTGATAAAATAAGAATCATCTGTTCTGAGTGCGTCTATGGTTTATATTTAAAATATCAAAACCCATTAAAATAATATTTAGCATCAGATAGAAGATTGGTGACTCACAAGGTCACCATGAACAGTAAGAGTAGGGGACACTTTTAGTCTCTAATTGGATGAGGCCTGCGATAACTCCACCCTGAGCTGCCCTGTCTGGGTGTACAGTGCAGTCAGCCGGCCCTGGGCCCAGCGCTGTGAGGCCTGGAGCATCAACTGCTGCATTCCTGGACTCACACTCTTCCTCTGCACCTTGCTCAGATCCACTGATTTTCCAGCACAAGTCTTAAGCTACCCAATAGCAGGGATTTTTCTTTTCTCCATTTTCTTGTCCTCACCCTGCTCCACACTTCAGGTAGCACCCGGACTGTGTATGCCCCGGTGGTGCCCAATAAATGCCCCTGCCCAGCTGGCTCCCGGTCCAACCCAGCCTTCCTCTCAGTCCCCTCCTGCCTTTATCCCCCCAGCACTCAGCCCATCTGCACCCCTCTTGCGCCTGCAGGGTGTGTACCTCACAGGGCGGGAGCCCGGCTCACCAGGGGCTCACAGGGACGGCTGCCTTGGGTGGACAGCAGAGCCAGCACCACTTACAGGAGCCTGTGGGAGAAAGAAGTACACACTTACCAGCCAGAGGAGAAGCGATTCCAGAAGGAATGGGGTCAGTTTGCAGGGCCCCTCATGCCATTTCTGATGCAGACTCTTCTCCATTTCTCATGGCCTTTCTCCCACGTGGCTCCAGGTTCTGAACCTTGGCATCAGAGGGACACGGCTGCTCTCATTAGCTCTCAATTTTTAAGGGTTCACTTCCCAAAGAACGAGCTGAGTCACGGACTTTGCAAATCCAATCATTGCACAGGAGCACCAAGCAATATCACACAAAGTCAGCATTCCTCATTATATCTCCTCTATCAATTTACCTCGGAACCAATTATTAATTCCCCTCTCTCCCCTCGGGCCACACTTAGTCACACCATCACGGAAGCTGGAGAAAATGGTCTTAGCCACCAGGTGGTTCCCAGTCTGCTCTGGCACCAGCTCTAGCTCTTAGCTAATCTGATCTGGTAGAGGATTCCAGGGGCCCCCATGAATGCCTGGGGTGAGCACAGCATCCCCTCCAGAGAGACAGGATCACAGGGGGCAGCTGGAGGGCCCCTGGTCTGAGGCAGGGTCCAGACTCCTTCCCTAGGAGCACAGCCTAAGTGGAATTTCCAAGCATAAAATGCAAGCGTGCAATTGCTTCAGGAAATGTTCCCCTGGGTATCAAGATCTGTTCAGTAAAGAGCTGCCTGGAGCTCACAGGGTCAGGAGCTCCTGGCGAGAGGGGGAAGCAGGGGGTGTTTGCGTCCACAGTCAGCTGGGGGCCTCAGAGAAACCCAGCCTCAGCGTGGGTGCTCAGAAGGACTTTGTCCCCCTCCACAGGTGAGCCTTCCACAGGAACCGCAGGACCCCTCAGGCTGGTTCACGCTGACCTTCCTCCATCCAATCTGTAGCTTAAGGATGATGGCAAAGCTCAGATGCTAATCAGTGCCTGAACCCACATGAGGTATCCTCTGATATCGTATCTCGTTTAATCCTCACACAAGTCCTATGAGTGCAGAAAGCCATCCCTATTTTATATATTTAAAAATGAAGGCCTAGAGGCACTTAATAACTTCTTCAAGGTCACACAGTGCCAGGATGCAAATTCAGATTTCTCTAAATCCAAGAGCCAGGCAGGCATTTTCCCTCATACATCTGCCAAGCATGATTCCTCTTTCATTAAAGAAAAAGGATAATTTATATTACTATTAATTAATCTGTGTTTGTTCTGACATTTTCTCTTCTTCATCTCCATTTCAGGCAGGAAATTAAACTTTTTCATGTTTTCATTTCCATATCTCAGAGACTTTTCTTAAGACATTTTAAAAAATGGGGGCATCCAGAACTCAAAATAATGCCAGTCTATTATAAAATTCCGGACCTATAAAAAATTATGCCAGCTGTCTGCCAAGATTGGCAAATGAGTAAAGGTTTTAGAGAAAAGGTAGAAAGAGAATCCAGCAAATGACACCTGCCTGTCAGAGGAGATGTGTGCCTGGATAAAAATATATCAAATTAGAATGGAGGAATTGGAATGCACATGTGCTAGGAAAGGAAGCAGCATTTTATGCACGCTGGGTGAGAATGAGGGAAGGGATTACCAGCAACTCCCCTTTCCACCACCGTAGCCCCACAGTTCCCCAGGAATGGTAATCTCATCCTTCCCCTCAAGGGCCATTTCCAGTGCATAAAACCCCATCATTTGGATTCTGTCTTAAGACTAACTTCAATAACTCCTTTGAATCTATAAGCCGTATATACAGTGATGTTAATTAAAGGTTGGTTCTGATGGCTGCAGGAGCCAGCAGTGCAGTCATGGGTAGATAAAATACAGTCGACGCACATCAGAGCACATCACAGAAATCAAAGTCCTGTGCACGAACAGCCATGTAGATGGTGTTGGGTAAAAGAAAAAGTGAGAGAGAATTCATAGCACAGACAGAAAGGGCTGCCAGGGGATGCTGGCAAGGTGCTGATCTTCACCTCGCTGCAGCAGACAGGGGTGGGGCGTTCCCAGACAGGGCCCGTTCCCAGGATGGGCTGACACAGCCAGGTGTAGCATGCACACTGGCTTAAGTGCCTGCCATTTCTTAATGGCAGGTGGCCCAAGGGGGTTCAGAGTCCTCCCCACCACCTTCAGAGCCTCAGCCCCTGTCAAGGTGAGGCTTCTCCAGGCCTCTGCCCTCCTCGGGTTTGGCAAGGGCCACTCCCTCCAGATCAAGGCTCCCGCTCAGCCAGCCTGGGGGTCCAGGACCCACCTTGGAGCACCGAGGCCCAGCACTGTCTCAGGTTCCCATGCTCAGGAGGCTTCTGTGGAGCTGTCACCATGGCCTTGTCCATGGGGAAGGGAACTCAGAGAGACCAGGATACCGTGGAGAGCCACGCAGCAGGCCGTGGGCACGGCAGGACCTTGCTGCGACTCCCCAGGACGCTGGACTCTACCCGGACTCCCCCAACTCTCTGGTGGTAGCAGGCTCCCCCAGTTCCTGTGCTCCCTCCACGCCTGCCCTCCTGGAACCTTCCCCAACCACAGTGGCCTCTCCAGCCTGTCCCAGTGTGAGGCCTTTCCTGCAGGCCAGGTCTGCTTGGAAAGAGCAAGGAGGGGCGCAGCAGCCTCTCTACCTTTAGGACCCTGCCTCCAGGTGAACGTGCAGCTCCATATCAAAGCCGGGCCAGCTTACGGACAGACCAGCCTCTCCCAGAACACCCGGCGTCCCCGCTGGCTTTTGCCAGGAACCCTGGCTCCCCGAGCCCTTGGCCGGTCACTGTGAGGCCAGATGATACCACCCAGCACCGTGGGCTGCCCTGCCTCAGAACCTACTCGCGTCTGGTTCACAAGATCTGAAGACCTGGACCTCCTCCCCACAAAGGTGGCCACCATCGACCACTCAACTCTATTCCAGGATCGCTGGCCACCTGGACTAACCAGGCTGACCCGATCTCTGGAAAGGTGTGTTCTTGTCCCAGGGACAGCTCTGTGTTATGGAGTCCGAGCAATGGGAGAGGCGCAAGGCTAAACTCTGGTACTCTCAGGGTATGTGGGGAGGGTCTGCCCTTTCTGCAGAGATGTAGACCAGGATGGGAAGAGTGTCCTCTGCCCATAGAAAGCTTGAGGATAGACTCTAGGAAGATCTTCCTGAAAGGGAGGCCAGGGAGAGCCAGAGACTCAGAGGGCACCATGGCCTCAGTCTGTTAAGCGAAAGACAGCCTTGCAAGAGGCAAGGTCTGGATGGGATGCCATCCCACGCTGGTTTCCAGACCAGTCAGCCTCAAGCATCCTCACCAGGAGTCAGCATGAGGATGAACCCTGGCACAGACGTAGGCACAGGTCCTGGGGTGACTGGTACCTCCTGCTGCTTGGCCAGTCATCACTGGCCTCGCAGAGGACAAATAGGATGGTGTGTCCATCAGGGGCCTTTCCTTCACCCTGTGAAACTGATACAAATCGGGGTACCCAATTCCCCTGCTCAGGAGGGAACTACAGCTTCCGGGCTCGTGATGACTCTGGAAGGGCTGTCTGCTCTGTCCAGGGAAAAAGAAGCCTGCAGTTAGGATGTTCATCAAGTGAGACCGACAGGTGTTTGCGGCTGGCTCCTTTCCAGGTGCTCCGGGATGTCAGCGGTCACCCAAGAACGGCCTCTGCCCTTTGAAGCTGACAGTCTCGTCTGAGGTATGTGATCAGAGGGCAGCTATGCAGGGGGTTGGGGTGAGGCATCCTGGCTTGTAAATTCCTAGTGCTCCTGGCTTGCAAAGAGGGAGAATGCTGCCTGGGCTGGAGTGGATGAGGAAGCCAGGACAGTGGAGGAGAGTGGAGGATCCACTGAAGGGTGAGGAGGGCTGCCAGATTTAGCCAAAAATCCACAGAGTACCTCAAGGAAGCAGAACAGAACCCCTCACTCCCCAGCTCAGGGCTGTGCACAGTGACATTTCTTTGAAAGAGTACAATATGTAAATGGAGGGAAAAGGTGAACTTTGCAATGGGAAAGCCTTACACACCCCTCAGCCTGGCGATCTCAGTCAGCATCCACAGTGACCTGTCAGGATAGTAGGGTGTGCCCTCGTCACACTGTGATGGGATGGCACTGCAGTTCTGCGGGCTCACGCCACACCGCAGCCCAGTCTAATCACAAGGAAGACATCAGACAAATCCCGACTGGGGAAAATTCTACATCACACCTGACCTCAAAAGCGCCTGGGCCATGAGAAGCAGGGAAAGACTGAGAGACTGTCACAGCCAAGAGGAGGCTGGGCAGACGGGCTAATGTCATGTGGGATCCTGGATAGGACCCTGGGAAACAAAGAGGACAGGGAAAACTAAGAAAATGAGGGAGTGGATTTGGGGAACAGTGACGTGTCCTTGTTGATAATAGCATGTTGATGTGTTCATTAACTGTGACAAATGAGGCATGCTCACATAAAATGCTAACAGCAGGAAAACTGTGCAAGGAGTGTGTGGGGACCCTCGCACCATATTGGCAACATATATTCTCCAGCTACTCTAAAATGAAACAATTATTTAAAAATACAGAGTACACAGTTAAATTTAAATTTTACATAAACAGGTAATATTTTCTCGTAAGTGTGTCCCATGAAATATTTGAGACCTTCTTATTCTGAAAAAGTATTTGTTGTTTACTTGAAAATTAAACGAATTACTGAGCATCCTGTGTTTTATCTGGCAACCACAGAGGTTGGGAGAGTTCAGAGGGGAGGAGAAAAAACATTGCCCCAGGGAATAGTGGACTCCATTCACCCCAGAGTAAAATCAGAGTAAAATCATCACTCTGCAAAGACCCGCCACAAAGCCTGCGCTTCTTGGATGTTAAGTTCGGCAGTGTCTCAGATCATGTAATCTGACCCCGAGGGTTTTTTAGTTACTGTTTTTGTTGCTTAAGAACAACTCAACAAAATAAAATTCCTGCTTATTGTTGGATAACACTGTCTCACATTTACATCAAACAGGCTAAAAATAAATAAATAAACAGCATCTTCATGGACAAAAAAAAAAAGACCTTTTATTTTTGGCCTTTTAAACGGTCTCATAGGAACCAACCACTTATGGTAAGTACAGCTAAGTACACACACTAACAAGTTACTGGAATGCTCGGAAGAAGATTGGCATTTTGTTGCCGTTTTTTATTTTCCTACAAGGTTTTTTCTTGAGGTTGTAGTGAGCATGGTTACACCACAGGCAAAGTCAAGAAGTAGGACAGAGCGCACTCTGAAGGCTGGTTTGGTCATTCCAGATCATCAAAAACGGCTGACCCTAACCATGTGTACACAAATGTAAAATGTAAACAAAAAATACAAACAAGTTTTTTTTAAAGTACCTTTTAGAAAAAAGTGGGGCCTTAGGAAGTTTTGGTTCTTTTTTCCGCCCGTGTTGCAAATGCCCGTGGTTGGGTTGGGGGCGGGACAGCGCCTCTGCAGGCCGGGGTGGGATTTGCAAGTGTCTCGTACATTATTATTAATTGTAGTCACCAGCTTGTAAAACAGATTTCCAGAACTTACTCCTCCTGCCTACCTGAAACTTTGTAACACCTTCCCGTTCCCTGCTCCACGTAGATCCTGGAAGCTACTATTTAATTCTTGGCTTCGATGAGTTCACCTTTTTATAATTCCATGTATAAATTATGTGGTATTTGTGAGTCATATCGTGTGTGTCTTTCTGTGCCTGGCTTGTTTTGTTAGCGCAACGTCCTCCATGTTCATCCAAGTTGTCATAAATTACAAGATTTCTTATTTTCCAAGGCAGAATAATATTTCATGTTCATTCATCTATAAATGGACATTTAGGTTGTTTTAATGTCTTGGCTCTTGTGAATAATGCTGGAATGAACATGAGCGTGCAGACATCTCTTTGACATCCTAACTTCACTTCCTTTGAACGTATACCCAGAGGTGGAATTGCTGGATCATATAATAGTTCTATTTTTAATTTTTTTGAAGAACCTCTAGACTTTTTTCCACAGTGGCTGTACTAATTGACATTCTCACCAACAGGCTTCCCTTTTCTCCATATCCTCTTCAATAATTGTTATCTTGGGTTTTTTGTTTGTTTGTTTTTGGTTGGTTGGTTGGTTTAGAATAGCCACCCTAACAGGTGTGAAGAAGTTTCTCTTTGTGGTTTTAATTTGAACTTCCTTGATGATTATTAATGTTGAGCTTTTTTTTCCATAAATGTATTGGCCGTTTGTATATCTTTTGAGAAATGTCTATTCATGTTCTTTGCCCATTTTTAAATTATGTTGTTTTCTTGCTATTGAGTTGTTTGACTTCCTTTTGTATTTTGGATGTTAACGGACATAAAAACAGACGTAAAGTCCAGTGGAACACAACAGACCACAATAGACTCCACAACAGACTCCAGAAATATGCCCATGCCTTTATGGTCAACTGATTTTCAACAAAGGTGCCAAGAATAAACCATGGGAAAGGACAATCTTCTTAATAAAATACATTGGGAAACCAGCTATCTGCATGTGGACTAACGAAATTAGACCCTTACTTCACACTGCATAGAAAAATCAGCTCAAAATGGGTAAGGACTTGGGTCCTGAGACTATAAAACTTCTAGAAGAAAACAGGAAAAAAAGCCCCTTGACATTGGTCTGGGCAATGATTTTTGGGACATGAGGTTCAGTTGGGCAGGAGGACTAAGTTCTGGAGATCTATTGTACAGCATGGTGACAAAAGTTAATCATAACGTACCTGCAACTTGCTAAGAAAATAGATCTTAAATGTTCTAACCACAAACAGAAAGGATAATTATGTGAGGTAATGGATTTGTTAATTAGTTTCACTGTGGCAATCATTTCACAATGTACACATATATCAAATCATCACATCATGTACCATAAATATACACAATCATTATTTGTCAATTATGCCTCAATAAAGCTAGAAAAAGCATGTTGTATTCCACACACAGGTATCAAAAGCAAAAATAGACAAATGAGATTACATCAAATCAAAAGGTTTCTGCACACTAAAGAAAATAATCAATAGAGTGAAGACACGACTCACAGAAAAGGAGAAAATATTTGCAATCCGTTTATTTGAATGCAATATTTTTTAACTTCTGTGCTTCACAAATAACATAAATGATGGTAAAAGGGAAACAGACCAACAGAATATTGGAAACAAATATGAGAATTAAATATTGATATTCTCATCTTATCCTACTATGGTAAAGAGTCCTTAGAAATCATGGGGAGAGGGAGAGAAACACAGCTAGGCCATAAGCTTGCACCTGCATTTAAAATCCCTGGCTCTCACATTACCCTACAAGGTCACATTTGGTGTTGTACTAGCCAGTTTCTCAGCCTTACCCCAGGGCAGGGTACCCTGCCGCCCAGGGTTGCAGTAGGCTGGGACTACCCTGGAACACTGAAGCAGTGGAGAGCTCCCACCCTCAAAGCACAGTGACCACAGGCATCTTGGGCTCCTTTCTGAGGACCACTGTCTGCCACCTGCAACCTCTGCTCTCTGCTCCTCCTCTAGAAGAACCTCCTGCCAGGGCCCAGATGTAAGGCTGGTTGTGGCCTGCACCCTTCCCCACCACTGCCCTGAGCTGGACACTGACTCTCTGTAATTATCTGCCCAGAAGGCAGGGATGTGGTGGTCCAGATCAGAATAAGCAACCCAGAACACAGCCTATCCCTCAGAGGAGTCAGCTGTCAAGCTTTCTCTGGGGAGGCCCCTAGCAGCTTCCTCAAGCACTCCCTGAAATGGTAAGCATTGTGGTGGGAGACAGATAAATGGAGACTCCCTGCAGTGGACTGGTCTGGGGTTCTGTCTCCTGGCTGGGTGCCCATCCATGGGGGTGGGGAGGACTGAATCGAACTCTTCTCAAGGCAGGAGGATATGTGAAAGGAAGAAGGACCTCAGCTGTGCATTAGGAATCCAGGGCATGGTGCATTTCAGGGGAATCCTCATGGTCAGTCAGGGATATTATAGTGTTAGTTGAGCATTTGGAACTGCAGGGCTCACCAAGACCAACCTGGATGATGGCACGTGGAGTCCCTCCTCTGTGACTTCCACACAGCTTCCAGAGCTGACTCCAGACTCCCAGGCAGAATTGTTGTCTTGAGCCCAGCGGGGGCCAGGCATGACCACTGCGTTCCCTCTGCAATGAGCAGGAGCCTTGGGGCTCACACACACACAGACGTTATTCTCCTTCCAGGCCTGGATGAGTGGTAGGCGCCCTCCTGCCCACGATTCTCCTCCATCTGCATGCCCATGTCACGAGTGATTCTAATGACAACCACTTCCTTTTCAGGGTGAAGTGTCACAGCATAAATACTTAAATGCTCCCCTATTGCCATGTTTGCAAGTTTCTATCAATGGAGGAATCTGGTGATTATTCAAGGAAGTGACATTAAGACCAGGGAAGTGATAAGCGGCCCTGGGGAGTTGTGCAGAAGAGTCAAAACCTCATTGTCATTTTCTCCTCAACTCACATCCCCTCAGGCACTTAGGACCAGTGTGGGCTGAGAAGAAGGTGTTTTTATTCAGTATCACAGAGTTTCCACATAGGTGAATTGAGGTAATTCACTGCTATCCAGAGAGATGAAATTGCATTTTTTGAGACACAATCTTTCCTTCCTTCTCACTAAGCACTATCATTGTTCCATATATTTATCTGGAGCTTTACTGCACCAACCTAAAATAAGTAAAAGGGCCGGGTGCGGTGGCTCACACCTATAATCCCAACGCTTTGGGAGGCCAAGGAGGGTGGATCACTTGAGGTCAGGCGTGTCTGGCTCAGAGCAGGTGCCACATACATTATATACATATATATGTAGAATGTTGAGTTCTCTCAAACTTCTTGTGGCACAGGTAGCATTTCTATGACATTGCAGTGTTGGAGCTCAGGTCTGGCTGGCTTAAGTTTGGGTGTTTTCACCTGTCCCAGGCTGCCGTCAGTGAAGAGAACATATACAACTTCCCGGTCCCTACACTTCCTTTATCACACTCAATAAAGTCAATCTGATAGACTAAGAATGAGCCAGGCATGCATTCCCATGGAAGGTGGCACTCATCATTAAAGACTTGCCATCGCGCGGGTTCAGCAGGAGCCCTGGAGAAACTGGTACAGGAACAATTTGGTGTCATTCTGCACCAGATGGGGATCTCTCTGACACACATGAATTGTACTGCTTTCCCCCAGTTTCTGTCTGTTTAGGGACAGGGCTGGGCTCTCCAGGTTGCCATGTAATGGGGAGTGGGCTTCAGTGCAGCCTTCAGAGGTGTAGGGGAGTCAGAGACCCCCTCCCCATCCTCCCTTAGCTGTGATGTGGGCTCTTCGGCTGGATCTAGAAACCAAATTGACACTAAGTAGACTTTACATGTGCGTGGGGATCTTCACAACGGATCCAAAGAAGTGGCCAAAGCAAGATGCTTATATACTTTTTAGGCAAAAATGATGTGTTTGAGACGAAATGACAGGACACAGGGGATCTGGCTAGGGGCAGCACATTTCCAGGAGAGTCACGAGGAGACATGTATGGGGGTGGACGACTAGCGGAAGGTGAAGGTTACCTCAGCCAGTCCATTGCAGCCCCAGTGCACGGCCTCTGGTAATGGGGGCTATTTTCTCGCCCTGGTGTGGACAGGGTACCCCTCCCAGAGGAAGCTGTATGGCTTGCCACGTGTAGAAAGAGACAGGTCAGTTCACACTTTCTGAAACTACAATTTCTTCAATGTTTTCCACTGGAAATAATCAGTACCCCAATCCAGCATATTTGAGATGGCAAGTCCTTCGTGCCTTCAGAGGCTTTGTAAGTGCTGGTCGCCATTGGTCATGCATTGGCCTCCCTCTATCCTTTCTCAGAGCTGCCAGGGAGCTCACCTCTCATGCTGCTCCGGAAGCCCTCCCTCCTCCTGCTTTCTGGCCAGGTTGGCCTTGAGCAGGTGCAGAGGGAGGACAAGGGGGTCTTCTCCAGGCTTGGATTCCTGGATCCCTGGAGAGAGTTAGCCATTAGTGGGAAATAAGACAATGTGGAAAAGGCCCGGGGAACACAGACCTCCTCTGCCCAGTTTTCCAAACCAGGTCCAAGAGACAGCATCTGGATGTTGTCTGTTCAGATGAATGGCCCAAATGGTGACTGCCTTGGGCCAGGCAGGAAAAGAAGGCAACTTCATGACATGTTAGTGAAGGGTGGGTGGGGGCTGCATATCATTGAGGTAGAGGCACGGGCCAGGCCCTGCACACAGTAGACTCTGTGTTTACGGAGGCCTCATTCAGGTGGCAGCCAGGCACACTCAGGTGCCAGGAGCAGACGCCGTCCAAGAACCCTCCTCAGAAGGGCTGCCCCTATGGAGCACTGAGGTCCCAGCCACGCTCTGCCTGCACTGACCACCTCGGGCAGCAGGAGGACTGGATGGAGGACCGAGGTCCCAGCCACATTCTACGTGCACTGACCACCTCGGGCAGCAGGAGGACTGGATGGAGCACTGAGTCATCGAGCTCACCGCCACCAGTAGGAGGGCTCCCTGCTTTGCAGGGCTGTCACCAGCCACCTTGCAGGCACAGACCCAGCCTGCACCACTGCCAGGAAGCATTTTCCAAACTCCCTGTGCCTTGCTGGGCCTGGAGCACCCTGATGCCCTTGGCTTTCCACTGGGATTTCTCTGCCAGGGAAGCTGCCCATTCTGTGGCCTCAGCCCCTGCACGACAGCAGGTTCCCTTCACTGCAAATTCCTTTTCCCTGATTGAAATTCTTCTCCTCCTCCTCCCAGGTCAATTGAAATACTGTCTCCTCCGTGGATCCTTCCAGACATGTGTTCTCTCATTCTGAAGTAATTGTTTCTTCCTCTTGGCTCCACTGTACTTTGTTTACAACATTTCTATGGATTTATCTTTTCTGGCAGTGTGTCACTACCATCTGTGTATACTTATTAGCTCCCCATAAGATTGTAAACCACCCATGTGTAGGGATTATCTTTGACTCTTCTTTGCCCCTTCCATATTATCCTGTAGGAAACTGTTTCCTCCTAAGGCCCAGCACAGTGCCCCACAGATAAAAGATGCCCGGGAAGTGTTTGTTGAGTGACTAGTAGATGGGAGAGAGGAAACTGAGGCACACAGCACACAAAGATCAAGAGACAAATAGTCAACTCTATAGGACTGTGAACCCAGAAAGTCTGAGACAGGTCTCAGTTAATTTAGAAAGTTTATTTTCCAAGGTTGAGGACGTGCCCGCGACAGCCTCAGGAAGTCCTGACGACACATGCCCAAGGTGGTCGGGGCACAGCTTGGTTTTACACATTTAGGGTCACATGAGACATCAGTCAACATGTAAGAAGTACATTGTTCGGTCTGGAAAGGCGGGGAGGCTGGAAGCAGGGAGGGAGCTTCCAGGTCACAGATAGGTGAGACACAAATGGTTACATTCTTCTGAGTTTCTGATTAGCCTCTCCAAAGGAGGCAAATCGGATGTGCATCCATCTCAGTGAGCAGAGGAGTGACTTTGAATAGAATGGGAGGCAGGTTTGCCCTAAGCAGTTTCCAGTTTAAGTTTTCTTTAGTGATTTTGGGAGCCCAAGATAATTTCCCTTTCATAGGACATACCCACACTTGGGCCTTCTGACTCTGAGTCCTGTACCCTTTTTACCAAAAGAAATCCATTTAAAATTTTCATCATTATTTTAAAGGCAGAAATGTTTTCCTGGGACCCCATCATCATTAACAAACATGGTTTGTTTCTATTGAGGCTTCTGGTCGCCTCTCTACCCTAAAGCATTGCTGCTCACCTTTAGGGAGGGTGCAGAACCTGACATGGGGCTTTCTCTATGCCAGGCTGTGTGCCTTTCCTGAGGATGGGGGCCGGGTACCCAGTTATTGATCCTCCCAGGCTTCCAAGGGGTTGAGCAAAGCACAGGTGGCTGGGACCCTGGGGACAGTAACGCCCAAGCATACAGGCCCAGTCTTAATGTTGTCTATGCTTGTATAATGTGCAAATGGCCAGGATACACAGCGACAAACTCTCACCAACATCCCCCCACCCCACCTTGCGTGCTCTTGTGTGCTCACACAGCACCTGCACACACACACACACATACAAGCACCTGCCCCTTGAATTGGCACTGGCTCCCAGAATACCTTTCCAAGCTGGGTCACTAAATAAACTCCATAAGAAATCTGTCAAGATGAAAATTAGTAAGATGCCCCATCATCATAGCTTTATCAAAGTTCCCTTGATAAAGTAGTACAAGAGCAAACCTTCCAAGAGGAAATGCTCACCACTGGGAGGGAGACCCACTGAGGGGCCAGGAGTGAGCCAAGCACCCTTCAGTACTGAACAGGTCCGGCAGGGTTTTAGGAACTGCGTATGTAATAACTCAGGCCTGTCCAGTTCTCCACTCCCAGCCCCAGCTCACTCCTACTACACACTAGATTTGCAATCCTGAGATGGCTGCCTAATCTCTCCATTTCTTGGATTCTCACTTCCCTCGAGAGAAACGCCCACCTGCCTGGGGCTGTCCCTGCACATTCTGCACATGGAGATGTGTTTCAGCTCCCCTCCCGCTCCTGAGATTCTCCCTGTTTAGATAATCCCTAACAGCACCAGACGGCGAGACAGCCAAGGCATTTGATGACTCTGTAAGTGTCAGACAGAGCTAAGATTGAAGGTGAGGCCAACCTGTTCTGTTTGGCATTAGATGAAGCTTGAGTGTGATCAGGGGTCCAGCCACCTCCTCTTTTCTGTGGTTCAAGGTGTTAGAAATGTACCTTTCTCAGGCAAGACGCAATTCTACATAAATTCAAGAATTTTTGCCTGTAAAAGTTCATGTTGGCCCAGAGATGAGAAATCTGAGCCAATTTAATACCTTCCTTCGAACATATGCTGTTTTTGGTTCCAATTGTCCCTTGCCAGCTTTCCCTGGCTCTGAAAAGAAGCAAACCAAAGGTTCACATTTGGACTGATTCGTGCTCAGGTCCAACCAACCTGTGCAGACCCAGGAGCCAGGCGCTGTGCCAGGCACGTTGACAGTGTTTGATCTCAGAGACTGAGTTTAGATTTTAGAATCAATTGAGTGAAAGGTGTATTAAATAACCATATTTTGTCAAGTTTCTCTATTAATTTTTTGAAACCTGTCTCCCTCTCTATTCCTACTGCCTCTGCAAATTTGAGGCCTTTGTCATTTCTGTGGGCTATTCACAGGGGGTCCCCAGCTGCTAGGCTCACCCCATTCACACCATCCTTCACACAATACCGACCATCCTTCCCCAAAATTCAAGTCCCCCTCTAATAAAAGCCTTTGTGGCTCCAAATTGCCTGCAGAATCCAAGCCTTCTGGATGCATCTTCTCAGCAGAGAAAGGGAGCGTTACGAGTTCAGACCGACACATGGTTCTTGCTCCTTCTGCAGACCCTTCACCCGCCCCTGCTCCCACTGTTACCAGTCTGTTTCCTCTCTTCAGGTGGCATTCACTTCCAAGTCCTATCTTCATGTCCCTCCTTTCCCTTGAGTAGCCTGGCTTCATCATTCACCCAGTCAAGTTCAACACATTTTTTTTTTAGATGGAGTTTTGCTCTCGTTGCCCAGGCTGAAGTGCAATGGTGCGATCTCGGCTCACCACAACCTCCGTCTCCTGGGTTCAAGTGATTCTCCTGCCTCAGGCTCCCAAGTAGTTGGAATTAGAGGCATGCACCACCACACCTGGCTAATTTGTATTTTTGATAGAGACGGGGTTTCTCCATGTTGGTCAGGCTGGTCTCAAACTCCCGACCTCAGGTGATCCACCTGCCTCGACCTCCCAAAGTGCTGGGATTACAGGCATGAGCCACCACACCTGGACAAGTTCAACACATTTTTTAAGACCAACTAGAAGGAATGACGGCCCTGGCCTGAAGCTCTCCCCAGCACCCTCTTAACACCCTGCAAGCTACACAAAACCCCTCGTCTCCATTCCTACCGCTCTTTGTTCCTCCCCCTACTGCAGCCCTCTCCACCGCGCAGGCAGACCCTGCAGGGCAGGACCTCGGTGTGTTTCTCTTGGTGTTGTATGAGGCATAACCTTGTTCCCTCTTTGCACTGTGAGAGACCTCAGAGATGAGTTATATGGAGACCTTAATTTCTCAGGTTAAGAAGCTGTGACCCAGCTATGTATTCATACATTCATTCTCTAATTGAACTGTGACATGGTAAATATTTATTGAGAACTTTCTACGTGGCTGTTTCTTGGTGCTGGGGATGCAGGCATTAATAAGACAGGAAAGGCCCTGCCCTCATCGGGCTAACAATCTGGAAGCAGTGGTCTCGAGTGATGGGAGATGAGTTGACAGAGACCCAAATACAATAACTTTAGATAGCAAGGAGTGCACAGTGTCAGGAAAGAAAGTGTCTGGGTTTGGGTGACTTGAGTCTTCTAAATCCCAGGTGGCCAAGAAAAGGTTCTCTAATG
This sequence comes from Homo sapiens, assembly GCF_000001405.40. Taxonomy (NCBI): domain Eukaryota; kingdom Metazoa; phylum Chordata; class Mammalia; order Primates; family Hominidae; genus Homo; species Homo sapiens. The sequence goes on along the minus strand of NT_187581.1, from coordinate 79,100 downwards.
CTAACATCTCTGAGCTGAGATCCAGCAATGAGAAGTTGCCAGCCACATGAAGTGAGGGACTGGCATTCTTGAAAGAGAGATGTGCAGGTGCACAGGTCCTGAGGGTGGGAAGGGTTTGGCTTGTTCTGAGACGCTGGAGCTTCATAAGTGAAAAGGACAGAGAGGGTGACGGGAGAGGGACCAAGGCCAGACTGCAGAGGTCCTTGTAGACCATGGCAAAAATTTTGATTCTATGACCAAGTCAGTTGAAATGCAGTTGAGAGTGAAGGCATCTGATAATTTTTTTGTAATCCTACAACTTTAGGAAAGACTGTTGCCTAGCCATGGTTACAAGTTGCCCACAGAACTAATTTTAAATTTGCTCAAGCGGTCAAGACCGCAATCTTCAGTGAACACATCTCTGCAAGCCGACTGGGGTCAGGCCCTCCACCCAGAAAGTTAGGCCTGGAAAGCCTCCAATAAACATGCCTCCCAGTGCCAGCCAATGACAGCAATAACCCTGCGTCTGCAGATGAGAGCAGTGCTCTTTCATCCACTGAAAACCTTTGTGAGGTCACCCCTTACGCCGCTCAGAGAGACGGTGCCTGACTCGCATAGCTCTCCTTTACTATAGTAAACGTTTGTGAGATCACCCCTTACGCCGCTCAGAGAGATGGTGCCTGACTCACATAGCTCTCCTTTACTATAGTAAACCTTTGTGAGATCACCCCTTACGCCGCTCAGAGAGGCGGTGCCTGACTCACATAGCTCTCCTTTACTGTAGTAAACCTTTGTGAGATCACCCCTTACGCCGCTCAGAGAGGCGGTGCCTGACTCACATAGCTCTCCTTTACTATAGTAAACGTTTGTGAGATCACCCCTTACGCCGCTCAGAGAGATGGTGCCTGACTCACATAGCTCTCCTTTACTATAGTAAACGTTTGTGAGATCACCCCTTACGCCGCTCAGAGAGATGGTGCCTGACTCACATAGCTCTCCATTACTGTAGTAAACCTTTGTGAGATCACCCCTTACGCTGCTCAGAGACTGTACCTGACTCCCATAGCTCTCTTTTACTATAGTAAGCAGTTAACTCAACCTTGCCCTTTTATTTCAGATAGTAAATGTTGCCCTCATCAACCTTTGACAGTTCTCGAACATTCTACCAGATTATTTTGAAGTCCCAGAATTTGTAACCAAGCAGGTCTTCATATAAGGGTGACAGAATTAAGTCTTTGTAAAGGGTACTTAGCCATAGGCCTTTGTATTCAGTAATTAGAACTTTGATTTAGAAGTACACCATTCAGTAATTAGACCTAAGTTTTTGAATAAAGCCGGGTTTCTCAATGTCAGCACTACCACCGTTTTGGACTGGTAAATCTCTGCTGTGGTCTTGTGCACTGTAGGTTGTTTAAAAGCACTTCTGGTCTCTACCCACTAGATTCAACCAGCAACCTGTTTTGAATGAAGCTATATCAGTTTAGCTGGTAACTGCTATTCCCAGCAGCTGGGAGGCCCAGACAAAAGAGCTGCTGCCCTTCAGGGGTCTGATTCTGGGCACAGCTTCAAGGACACAACAAGAGAAGGGACCCACTCCCAAGAGATGTCCTGTGGGAGCTTTAATTGGTGGGTTTAAAGCCAACCGGCATGAGTTCCAGGAGGTCACGCTGTGACTGAGAGGTGGTCCCTTTGAGTTTCAGGCAAATGTCTGAATGGCCCTTTTAAAGGCAAGGCAGGAAAGTGGAGCCCAGCCTGCCAGGCAGGAGAGATGCCTCTGCTGTTTATCTCTGTCCACCAGCTACTGCCATTTGGGTGGTTATAGTATGGGAAACTGTGTCAAGAGTGACTGAGCCCTGCTTCACAGAGGTATAAAAAAATTAAAGCTATATTTAAAAATGGATGCAAAAGCAGCATAAAATTACTCACTCACTACACACTACTTCCTCATATGTAGCCAACAACACCGTCTCAGGGCACTGCAAAACGCTCCCTGAGGTGTAAAATTGCCCCACTTGTGAACTGCTGATATAAGGTTATTAGCTGTTTTGTTTTGGAAACATAGTATTTAGAAAATATTTTTTATTAACCAGATTATTTCCTGCTGTTTGCTTTGCTTTTGCTTATCTATGTGATAAAATCTTGTTTCATGTGGTTTTGTTTTGTCTTGAATTGTCCTTTTTCTTTTGAATGTTTAAGAAAGTGTTCCATGGGGAATGGATGGAGGGTAGACTATAAAAGTAATCAATCAATTCCAAGCTTGTCCTAGGAACATAGGGCAGAAATTAGACCTGCAACATGCTTGTTACTAAGAATTGCTCAAACTTTGCTTTGGGTTCCCCAGAAGATCTTCCCGCGGGCACGCCTCATTTTGTCAATTTGTGAGAGAAAATTACTAAAAGTTCATATCTTGGAGTCAGCAATTATCAAGGAATTAATTGCATGGCTCCCTCCTCTCCTCTGGTTTGAAAGCCCAAAACACCATTCACAGCCCACATTAGTGACACCATGGTGTCTTTTTCTTGTTTGTCATGAATTTGTTATCAGGTTTCAGCTAACTTCTCTGTAAAGGAACAGATAGTAAGCAGTGTAGGTTTTGTGGGCTACACCATCTCTGGGGCAACTCTTCAACTCCACCTTTGTAGCACAAAAGCAGGTATAGACACTACATAAACAAATGGTCTTGCTGTGTTCCAATAAAACTTTATTTACAAACGCAGGTGGCAGGTGGGACGTGGCCTGAGGGCAGTAACTCACTGAGCTCCGGCAGCAATTTTCCTAACCCCTCCTGGAAACACTTCTGCTTCCTTTATAAAGTTGCACTATAATCTTTGCTCTTGTACTATATTGATAAATGACAATAAAAATTAAAAGACTTACTGTAACAATGGCTATTATGGGAATGCTTTGAAATGTCAAAATGAATGAATTTTTATCTTACAAGAAATTCCAACATTATCAAGAGTCAAAACACCAAATATCCAAAAGTCAGCTTTGTCATTGGTAGGCTGGGGTCTCAACATTCTAACTCAAAGATTGTGCGTCTCAAAGATTCCATGGCCTCTGAAACATACCCTCCCTGTATCTCTCTTTCTATAGAATTCAGGATTTTGTTAGAATCTTTTTCTTTCTTTCTTTCTGAGATGGAATCTCACTCTGTCTCCTAGGCTGGAGTGCAATGGTGCTATCTTGGCTCACCGCAACCTCTGCCTCCTGGGTTCAAACTATTCTCCTGCCTCAGCCTCCTGAGTAGCTGGGATTACAGGCATGCACCACCATGCCCGGCTAATTTTTTATTTTTAGTAGAGATGGGGTTTCTTCATGTTGGTCAGGGTGGTCTCGAACTCCTTATCTCAGGTGATCAGCCCACCTCGGCCTCGCAAAGTGTCGTGATTACAGGCGTGAGCCACCACACCTGGCCTAGAATATTTATATGCTAGACAACAGTTGAATTACTTGGAAAGACAAAAGACACAAGATTAAATCAACCATATGTGTAAAATTTTAAAAGTAATACAAATGATTTAAACAATAAAAGTAGAAAAACACGACTGTGATAAACAAAATTAAATACTGTCTGCCCCAAGGGTGTCCTCATCCTAATCCCAGAACATGCAAATAAGTTAAGTTGCATGGCAAAGGGAAGTTAAGATTGGGATGGAATTAAGGTAGCTAAATCGGCTGATTTTTAAAAAGGGGGATTATCCTGGATTATCTAGGTGGGATCAGTATAATCACAGGGGCCTTACATTGGAAGAGGAAGGCAAAAGAGTCCATGTTGATGTGATTCAGTTTGAGGAAGAGTCAACCCAAGATTGCTGGCTTTGAAGATGTGGAAGGGCCACCAGCCAAGGAATGCGGATGCCCTAGAAGCTGGAAAGGCAAGGCCACAGCTTCTCCTGAGACTCCAGAAGGAAACAGCCCTGCTGACGCCTTCGGTTTTAGCCTGGTGAGGCACCTTTTACCTTTCGAATTTCAGAACTGTAAGATAATAAATTCGTTTAGTTTTAAGCCGCTGTGTTTCTGGCAGTTTGTTACAACAGAGATAAAGGTAAATATAACCACACTAGACAATTTGAGAAGACTTTTCTTTTTTTGAGTGTGGACTAAACGCAGATCCCAACATATAAACTAAACATAGGTAGAAGGCATGACTCAAACGACTATTGCACCGTATTCTGTGATGAAGAGTCGTGCTCTCTTTTTATAAACAGGCTCAAATAGTAATTAGATTATTTAAATAAAAATAAACAGAATATAGCTAGACATTTCCAGGTAGTTTTCAAAGTAAACAAACTAGAGTAGCACTCATGGCTCTCTCAATAAATGACCGGAAAGGCCTGTGTTCTTGAATAGGAGCACGGACAGACAAACATGCTTCACAGATTCACAGGCAGAAGACTCTTGAAGGGAAAAAAGAAGTCTCACTTTGCCCAATAAACAGAAGAACAACTATCCAAAATGTGTTCGGCGATGTGGCCCCAAGGGGGATATTTGCTCTGGACGATTCCCTGCACTTCCTCTAAATGGCAAAGAGAACTGTCTACAAATGCAGCTATGCACTCACACAGCTTTCTTCTTTATGTGAGTGTCATTACAGCTAGCTTTAGTCCTATGACTACACAACATCAAATCCTTCAGATTAAAGTTCTGTGGAAAGCAAACTGAAACGCAAATTGACTCGTCAGAAGTTAAAAAACATAAAAAGAGAAATATTGCTGTGCCAAATGGTTACAAATGTGATAAAGGAAAGATCTGAGGGCCTACGTAGTAAAAGGTTTAAGGGAGAGACATTGTCCACATGGTGAACTGGAAGACTGCAAACCCCCGTCCCCTGACTTCCAACATCAGGAACAACCAGAAGTGGCTGAACGAACCTTCTAGGAGCTCTGGAAAACAGTCCAAGGTCTACAGCAACCAGTGAACACCCAATCTAGGAAAAGCCCCACTTGAAACCTTAGGAAGGCCCATAGGGTTCTACTGCAGGCCTGCAGCAGTGAGGCCTGGCTCCGGAGAGACAGCAGCTCCAGGCCTTCTTTGGAGATCTAGAAGTCGACACGGCCCTGTGTGGACACCTGCCAGGCCCCAGTAATTAACCCCTCCACCCCACCGCAGGCCGGGACCCCTCCCCTCACACATTGTGGGATTGCGCCTCTGGAGACCGTTTTGTTAGACTGCTCCCCAGGCTGCCTGTCTCCAGCGGCAGTGGAGATGAGCTGGCTCTCGCAGAGCAGAGAGGAGACTGTAGTATGTGTGCAGGAAGGGCGTGGGCCAGGGAAGAACTGGAGGGAAGGATCTCAACGAGCTTTCCAGAGGAAGCCGGCAGGAAGTCAGCAGTGTGCCATGAGCAACCCACAGCTTGGCTCATGGGGTCCCAGGGCCCTTCCCCAGGAGGCTGCGTTTCTGATTCTGCAGCCTTCCACGTCTGCCCTCCCTGGCTTCCCAGTGCTTATGGGATCCATATCTGAAAGGCCTTCAGGGGCCAGTGCCTCCGTTTTTATCCCACACCCTCCATGCCCTACACACACGTGCACACACACTTATGTGCACAAACACACATGCACTCACATAGGTATGCCCACACACATGCACATGTGTGTACATGACCACATGCACACTTACACACGCAGGGGCTGCTGGGACCACTTAGTGCATGCTTTACCCTGGGCAGGCCCTCTGTGTCGTCCCCTCAGCAGTGGTCAGGAGCCTCCCGTGACTGGGCCACACCCTCCCCTCTAAGCCCTGGGATGGCGACTTTTTCCTGAGGTTGCATCCAAGTCGACTTTTCCCTGACGTTGCATCCAATTCCCTTTTCAGAGGCCTGTTGCTCTGGTCTCACTGTCTCCCCACCCCCATCCAAGCCACCTGTCATTGACTTGATGGATATTTAGTCACCATCCCAGGGTTGCTTCTGTGGGAAGTTTATCCTCACACCTGCTCCCCGAGTCTCCAAACTCCAAGAGATGTTTTGCAATTGATTCTTCTGAAGTCTCAGAAGGGTAGGAGCCTCTCCCCTCTTCCATTTTCACTGTACCACTCAAGTAGCTCCCCAGGCTCCTCAGAAGACAGATGACTTTATAAATTCTTAAAAGCGCATGTGGAAATATCAGAGTAATCATTACTACATTACTCAGTCAGTTAAGAGTGCTTGGGGAAAAGCTAACATAAAATAAATCTTCATTGTAAGGGCATCTTTCATTTCCTACAAAGGATTAGCTGTCGCTGAAGCCTCAATCTCATTTTGTTGTGTGGCTAAGATGAATTTTCTAATTAAGGCCCATGCATGAAGCCAAGCAGGCTCGCCTAACTCTGGAAGGGGCTCCGGTCCTGCTTTGTCTAATAATCCTGAATGCGCTGGACAGGCAACTCCCAGGAGTGATAGGAGTCAGGAGAGTGGGATAGGCATGTGGAGCTGGGTGAGCTCAATCCCACCCCTGCAGGAAGGTTCCAGCCCACCAGGACCCCCAGCCATGCACGCCTGAGTTCTGCCCTCCCTCCCCAGCCTGCTGCACCTCTGGCCCCCAAGAGAGGAGGCTGCAAAGAGAGCCCCGGCATCTCCTGTCCTGCTCTGCAGCGCAGACCACTCAGGGGACAGCAGCAGCCCCCACGGTAGGCACCTTGGGTTCTGGGCCAGTCGGGAGCTGGGACTACAGGGACCAAGGGCCTGGAAGGAGGTGGCTCCTGGGACTGGAATTCCTCCCTATAGATGCAGGCTCAGCCCAGGCCTCTTCTCCTGGGCTCCAGGTACAGATGGGGAGGGGCAGTGCTGGGAGATTGGGGCAGGGGAGAAGTTTTATGAAGAGGCTGCTGCTTGTGAGAGAATCAGAGAGGTGACAGGGAAAGGTGAGAATGAGCTCTGACAAGAGGCAGAATGGCTTTGCCCTGAGGCAGCCTCAGCTCTGCAAGTCCATCGAGCTCAAAAGGTGGGGAAAAAGCAGAAATGGCTGTGCTCTTTGCCCAGGAGGAACCTGCAGCAGAGTCTTCACAGAAATGGTCCGTCTCACTGTCTCCCTCTCCTCTCAGAGCTAGGGTGGCCGCAACCTGGAGAGCCGTGGGGGGAGCGGGTGGACAGGAGGAGCCTAGGCCCTAAGCAGAAAACCTGTGAGCAGCGGGGAGCAGCGTGTGCCAGTAATGCCAGGCAGACACAGCTGCAGTCATGCAGTGTACGCATGTGGGGTGGAGCCATCTAGACCCTCCTGGAGCCTTTCACAGACAGGATTGCACTCAGGGCCTGGGCTTTACTGGGACCAGCCGCTCTGATGGGAGCTTTGAATGAAAAATATCTATGTTACTGAGCAAGGGGCTCATGCTCTACGTGCATAGAAGCCAATACCATGGTACGGGTTTCTGAGGAAAGAAAGGGCTTTACTGCGAGGTTGACCATCAGGGAGATAAGAGAGGCAGCTCAAATCTGATCTCCCAGATCTGGGGTCTGGGGTGAGTTTTAATGGGCTGGAGAGTGAGGGAAAGGATTTAGGAATGTTGGCTTGTGGGGACTGATCGGGGCTTCAAATCTGACCCATGATTGTAAGGAAAGATGAGGGGGATTTCAGCACAGATTCTCCTAGCCAGCAGACCCCTTGCCTCTGGAAGGGTTCGCACAGTCAGGTCGTGTCTGGGCTTCTTGGTTCTGCAGGGAAGAAGTGCAGGTTCCAGGCGTGGCTAGAGGCCGGAGCTCTCTGCACTGGGTGTGTTCAGGCCACAGGACTTGCCGTTTGGTCTCCGTTACACCTGCGAGGCAGCTGGGCATTCTGAGATCAGCAGAGTGGGGCCAGATAGGGGAGTCCTGTGGTGACAGACCTACTACTGTGTTTCCCTGGCTTTTATCAAATGCCTCTTGGCAAACCCAGAACTTCACATAAGGAACTTATTTTTCCCTCTCAATGGCTTTGAGTGAAAATCTGGTCCATTGTGGGGCCATTGTGTGCAGGTCTGCTCCACACACCAGCCTTCCGGCTCCCAAATTCCTACTTACAACCATGGTGACTTCCTTGACATCTATACTGGGAGCGCCGTGACAGAGAACACGGGGACTTGGGTACAGATTTTATACACCAGGAATGGGGACTAGTGAGGATGCCACTTCCTGTGATTCCCCGCCCGTGTGTGTCTGTGTGGGGGCCACATTTAAGGGGTTCCTTTTTCTAACCTCTTTAGAAGGCCGCTGTGATTGATTCCAGCCTGTCACCACCTTTCCCCTCTCTCTTCCCACCACAGTGTGACTCCTTTGGGCCCTGGAGTCTCAGTGCACCGCCGGCAGTGACCTTACTGCAATCCCTCGGTGAGAGGAACATCTCGCCAGAGCTGATGTGGGAATCTGATCCCTCGATTCCACAGCAAACCCTGCCTTCTCTAGAAGCTGGAGGACCAGGTAGGAGCTCAGAGCATCTTCTCACAAACCTGGGATCTGAACCCTGCCTGGGGAGCCCCTTCCCAGCTGGGTAGGAGGAGCCAGTCTGTGCCCACAGCCCTGGTCTGGGGTGAGGAACCCTTTGAAATTGAAAGGGAGCTCCTGTCCCCCTGGAGGCCTTCTTGTTTGGGGACCAGAAGGCATTTGGGGAACAAAGTTGTTCATCTCATGGAAGCTTTCTGCTGCTTCTGGGGAGAAATGGGGAAGGAGGGTAGGAAGTAGCAAGGAGCGGGGAGAGGGAAATGAGAGTGACTGTTGCACGGATACCGCCTCTGGCTTGCATAGAGGCCACATTCACAAGTGTCATGGGAGCTGAAGGGGGCTGTTTGGATCAGATGACAGACTCCTTGCTGGGGGAACCAGCTGCCTACCCAGGTTGCAATCAGGATCACTCAGTGCCCAGGCAGCCGGCCGAAGGGGACAGAGAATATTTTGGGTGGGGACCAGATATGGAGGAGTATGAAGCACGCTGAGGCATTCTGTCTGTAACGATGTGACACCGTCATCATCTTGTGTCGGGTTCTTGCAGAGTAGCCCTGTTTCTGAACAGAGAAAGGTGTCCTGGGAAAGCTTCCAAAAGAAAATGTGCTAATTAGACCCGGGATGCCAGAGCGGCTGTGGTCCCCAGGCCCCTCAGCCCTGCAGCACTGGGACACCGGACTTCATTTCCATTGCTCGCCACCTGCATGCCTTTCATGACTGGGTTAACCCGGGGCAAGGAAGGCCTGGGCACACTTTGGCAGCCAGTAAAGAGGCTGCCTGACCATCCTCCCTCCTGGGAGGATGCGGCTGGCAGGCTTTAGTTCCCGGCCCTCTGGGGACTGCCTCAGCTGCAACTGCATGACAGCCACTCGGGGTGGCCTTGAAGGAGGGTGGTGGCCAAAAACCTTCCCAAAGAGAGAGCTTCAGGCAGTGCACCTGGTCCTCCGCTCTGTACCAGAAGAGAAATGGCCTCAGGACAGAACAGACATGAACTTAAAGGCAGGGGCAAATGATGTGGCCAGCTGTCCAGGAACTGGGAGGGAGAAAGGCTGGATGACCCGGGGCACATGAGTCCAGGAGAGGGGCACGTGGGCAGACATGTGGGAGAGCCTCCGTATCCCACGTGAATGCCCATCTGAGAACAGGTGATAAGCAACCAGGTGATGCAGGACTGTGCCCCGTGATGTCACTCAGCCTCTGCTGCTGGCCACCTGGAACAGCCGTCATGGTAGCAGGGATATGGGGGCAATTTGGGGTTCGGCACTATGGGACCCCACACACCAAGGCTGATACAGCCAGTCCTACTGCCAAATGCCTATAGTGCTAACAGCCAAGACCAGCACTGAGTGTGACCAGTTGGCCAACTGGTAGCAACACTAGACCCCTTTCATCCTAGACAGGCCAGCAATTCATTCAGGTAGAACAGACACACATTCTAGCTACAGGTTTGCCTCTCCTGCCTGTAGGAACTAGAGAGCAACATTGCCTGGGTAGGTATGGGATGCCAAATTCACTGGCATCAGATCCTCATACCAAGAGAGTTAATTTCCAGTAAGGAGGTGTGGGAGCAGACGTATGACTGTGGAGTTCAGCACACATCCCCTGACCATGCCTGCCAGAAGCTACCACAGGAATGGAATGGAAATGGCTGCTGAGGGCACACTACTGTGTCAACTCAGAGTCAGCGTCTATCATATAAGAGGACAGGGCATCATCCTCTGGTACCTTTAAGTGGTACTGTGACCCCAGGAAGCACAGTGAGTTAGAAATGAAGGGTAGACTCAGAGGAGATATGCTTACACTCCCAGGACCCTATTCGGGACCCTCCTGCTTTCTGAAGCTGTGGGATTTATGGGTTTAAGAGTCCTGGTCCCTAAAATGAGCAGGCTTTTCCCAGGGGACATAACAAGAATCCTCTTGGACTCCTTGTGTTAAGGGACTAGCAGGCAAGAAGAACAGCCCGGCTGTAGGCCATTGAGGCTGAGCAGCAGGGCGAGCTGTTACTGCACAGTGGGGAGATGAACTGTCTGTCACACGGGTGACCTGCCTCCCTCCTGCTGATTGTCCCGTCATCAGCAGCGGAAACATGGAAACTCATGTTCAGCTTTCCTGACATGTTCCTGTGGACACTGCAGGCTCTGTGGCAGATTCCCCAGTGGCTTGGGAGCCAAGGAGGGAAAGTTTCTACACCTCAGAGCCCTGCCCCAGGTGCAGGGGATCTCTGTGAATCATTTCCCTGGCTACTGTGCTCACTCTAAACCAGAAAAAGTGCTGCTTAGCCTGGCATGGCTCACTCTGTCTGCTGCACCAGAGTGCTGGGAGAAGTGCAGGACAGGCTTTACTCAAATTGGGCAACCATAGGTTAAGATCCTTCCTGAAGGTGTTGGGCTGGCAGGGACAGCAGCCAGCAGGCTGTAAGGATGAAGGCTGGAATCGTCCACCAATGTAAAAGATTTTGAATCACATGGCCAAGGTCGAGGGTTTCAGATTCTACTAAAGAGTCTATGTTTGGTTTATAAGAGGGCCACACATCACTGAAAATCAAATACATAGTTTAATTCAGGCAAGTAAACATGTCAAGTGGAAAACAAATGGAGAAAGATGCTGTAGACAGTCCTCAGGCGGTAAGTGGGAGGGAGCTACCCAAAGTGACTTTTAGGATTTCCTGTGCCCTTGAGATTCTACAACTGCACGAGACTTTAGCTGAAGGGGCACGTGTTGGAGCAAGCATTTCACCTGCTGCTCCATCAGCATGCCCAAATGCTTCATCTGCATGCCCACATCCTGCCCTCAGACATGCACCGTGGGATACATACAAGGGAAATCCTGACTAGAAAATGCCTCCAGTGTCAGCTAGCACCTTCCCCGCATCTAGGAAAAAACAAAAACACAGCCAAATGCCCTGTGATTTTAAAACCATTCAATGAGGCCACTCCAAATGTTGGCCCACCTTCAACTGACACACAATTTTAATTTCAATACAATTTTCCAATGATCTAGTCCAGTGGTTTTCACGCTTGGTTGCAGCAAAATCAACTATGGATTTTCTAAACAGGCCTCTGAATTACACCCCTGACCTTCTGAATCAGAATTTCCCAAGATGGAGCTTAATAATATAATTGTGTAAATCTCCACGGCTGACCCTGAAGCACAGCTAAGGCTGAGAGTCAGTGATCTCATCTACATCCGTCTTCTGTAATGCCATGCCATGACACTCGTTCCGTCCTTGGAGAAATGGAGCTCAACTCAAGAATCCTGACATCATGTCTCCTTGATATCAGCCTGCTCAGCTCTGGTGCTGTGGAGCTCTCCTCGGAATCAGTGGGGTCCTTCTAGCCAACAGGTGTAGGACTGAGAGGAGGGAGCTTGGAGGACGGTATGAAGGGGATGAAAAGGGTATCTCGAAGGTGGCTTGCTGGGCCATGAACAGAGAGGCTGGAGAGTGTGGAGACGGTGGAGTACACACACAACTGCTTCATTCATTCACATTGTTGATGGACACTTAGGCTTTTTCCATATCTTGGCTATTGTGAATGGGGCTGCAATGATACCGATTTCAAGTCCTTTGGATATGTACCCATAAGTGGTATTTCTGGATCATATGGTAGTTCTAGTTCTATTCTTAGGTTTTTGAGGTACCTTTGTACTATTTTCCATAATGGCCATACCAATTCACATTCTCCCCAGCAGGGTTCCCTTTTCTCCACATCGTTACTGGCACTTTCTGCCTCTTGTCTTTTTTGTGCTAGCCATTCTAACAGGTGTGAGGAAATATCTCACTGTGGTACACACACACACACACACACACACACACACACACTGGAATATTACTCAGTGATAAGAGAGATCTTGCCATTTAAGACAACACGGATGAATCTGGAGAACATTGTGCCAAGTGAAATAAGGCAGGCACAGAAAGACAAATGCCACCTGATCTCACTTACATGTAGAACCTAAAAAGTCCAGCTCATGGAAGCAGAGAGGAGAATGTGGCTGCCAGGGGCTGGGCTTGGGGGAAATGAGGAGATGCTGGTCATAGAGAGGAGAATGTGGCTGCCAGGGGCTGGGCTTGGGGGAAACGGGGAGATGCTGGTCATAGAGAGGAGAATGTGGCTGCCGGGGGCTGGGCTTGGGGGAAACGGGGAGATGCTGGTCATAGAGAGGAGAATGTGGCTGCCGGGGGCTGGGCTTGGGGGAAACGGGGAGATGCTGGTCATAGAGAGGAGAATGTGGCTGCCAGGGGCTGGGCTTGGGGGAAACGGGGAGATGCTGGTCATAGAGAGGAGAATGTGGCTTGCCAGGGGCTGGGCCTGGCTTGGGGGAAACGGGGAGATGCTGGTCATAGAGAGGAGAATGTGGCTGCCAGGGGCTGGCTTGGGGGAAACGGGGAGATGCTGGTCATAGAGAGGAGAATGTGGCTGCCAGGGGCTGGGCTTGGGGGAAACGGGGAGATGCTGGTCATAGAGAGGAGAATGTGGCTGCCAGGGGCTGGGCTTGGGGGAAACGGGGAGATGCTGGTCATAGAGAGGAGAATGTGGCTGCCAGGGGCTGGGCTTGGGGGAAACGGGGAGATGCTGGTCATAGAGAGGAGAATGTGGCTGCCGGGGGCTGGGCTTGGGGGAAACGGGGAGATGCTGGTCATAGAGAGGAGAATGTGGCTGCCGGGGGCTGGGCTTGGGGGAAACGGGGAGATGCTGGTCATAGAGAGGAGAATGTGGCTGCCGGGGGCTGGGCTTGGGGGAAACGGGGAGATGCTGGTCATAGAGAGGAGAATGTGGCTGCCGGGGGCTGGGCTTGGGGGAAACGGGGAGATGCTGGTCATAGAGAGGAGAATGTGGCTGCCGGGGGCTGGGCTTGGGGGAAACGGGGAGATGCTGGTCATAGAGAGGAGAATGTGGCTGCCGGGGGCTGGGCTTGGGGGAAACGGGGAGATGCTGGTCAAAATGTTCAAAGTTTCAGTGGTAAGATGAATGGGTCCTGGGGCTCTAAAGTACAGCTGGGTGGTGATGGATGCTTTAGTTACTGTGATTGTGGTAATCACTACACAATCATTACACAATGCATACACAGATGAAATCATCACACTGTATGCACTGAATATATGCATCCTTTATATCAATCAAACACTGTAAAATTTAACAAAGTTAGAGTACAAACAGAGGTGTGCTAGATATTGCTCTGAGAGTTGTGTATTGTTTTCTTTAACTCATTTCTTGAAAAGTACCCTTTCAAAGGAGGCTCCGATATAATTGATTCAGCAAATTAAGTCGAAAAGTCCATATGAGTTCACATTAATGTTAAAAGTCCTCCTCACATCCTGGGATTAGAGAGTAGGCCAGAAAATGCTCCTTGTTCAGCTGGCAGCCGCCACTCAGGTCACTGCCTTGGCCCATGCGATAAAATCAAGCATTTCGTAGTGGATTCACCAACCTCAGCTCGAAGTATGAAAACGAGCATCCACTTCCGGGTGTGCAGGCTGGGCATCTCCACACAGAGGCGTTCCATAGGCTTCCTGGGATTTTGTGGAAAGTCTGAAAGGCATCACCACATGCCTGGGCTCGTTACCCCTGACAAAATTGACAAAATGTATAGAATTCTGAAAAAACAGGAGAGAGCTTAAGAATCTTTCCTCAAAATGCTCCAGCAAACACAGGGGGACACGTGTCCCAAGAGGGCATCTCATGTTTAAAACAACAAAGCAGGCAGGGTCATCAGCAAAGGCTCTGAGGAAGGAGAACCTGCTTTCAGATGGTTGGGCATTTTTTTTTTGTGGGGTGGGTGGCGGGGCAGTATTTTAGTTTTATTGGTGAGGTGGCAAATTATTGTCTTTTAAACAGACATATTTAGACCATTGCATACTTGCGTGGCCTGTGATAATTTGAAAAAAGATGGTTTATTACCGGTTTGTACGTCTTGGAGGATTTCTAGTGACACAGGGAGAAGGCCTCCTGGTCTTGCTTGGGGCCCTCCCCTGTGGGTGTCAGGAGCCCTGACCCATGCTTGACTCCTCCTTTCTGCTCTGAGGGGGCTCTTATGCCTGGGGACATATCCCTGGAGGCCCGAGAGCTGCAGCTTCATGCCCCTCTGTGAAGGGCTCAGGAGCCTGAGTGTGCGTGAGCCTCTTCACAAGAGTTTGCTGCTGGGAACTGAGAGGTCGCTGCCAAGGGAGCGTGGCTTCTGCCCAAGTCTTTGATGCCCAGGCAGCTCCCCACTGGTCCACGTGAAGCCCTCTCTGTTTTGCAGCCCCTGCTCAGTGGGACTGTGAACACGGGTGGTTGGGCGTGGGGACTTCATGGCAAGTTCCTGGGTGGTGCTGACCTTGGTGCCAGGCTCTGATTGGACCCACTGAAGAGGGAGGACAGAGAGGGTGAGGTTTGGGGCATGTGAGCCACCTCCAAGACCTCAGGCCATGAAGCCCCTGGCAGGAGGCATAACCCTGGCTTCCACTGTTGCAGGGACACAAACCTCCCAGCTCCCGTGCTTGGAGGAGGAGGGGCTGAAGGAGTTTCTCCTCCTCTCTGTCTCAGTAACTGGGGATTCAGGCCTCTGGGGTGCAGCTTCCACACAGAGTTGCAGAGAAGCCAACTAACCCACTTTTCCCACCACCACTGCTTCGGCCCCACCTCAGGTTTCCTCCCCACAGCCAGGGAAGACCCAGACTCTAGGGGTGATATCATGGGGCAGAGGAGTTAAGGTGTGAGGAAGCAGTACTTTAACCTCCTCTGACCCTCACCAGCACTGACTGGGGCATCCACTTCCCAGAGGAGGACACTGAGGCCCAGAGAAGAAAGTTTGCCAAAGATGACAAGGGCAGTCGTTAGCAGCCCTTCAGTTGACTCACATGCCTCACTTCTGAGCTACAGCATCTTCCCACTCCCCACCACCACAGTGCCCCTAGCAGAGGATCGGGGCTGGGAGGGAGGTGGGCACCTTCGCTTTGAAGCTCTTTCCCCCAGTGTGTCTGCACTGGGCCCAGCCCCTGAGTCTTGACGTTCCTACTTCAGCCCCTCGTGTGCCCCCAAGGACTTGTACTATGGGAAACATTCTGAGGGAAATTGCCATTTCCCTCAAAAGGTCTGAAAAGGTCCAGGCAGAGCCACTGTAGTGAGCAACAGCTTTATATCAAATTCTAAAGGGGGTGAAAAGGGCAAGGGAGAGAAGGGTAGGATCGGAGAAAGAAATGGACAAAAGGCTCTGCTAGAAACCTGAGGCTATTCCTGAAAACACCAAGTCCACTGAGAATCTTCCTTGAGTTGCCCTTTGCTGCTGGAGTTGATTTTAGTGCTCTCGGACTCCAGGGCTCCAGCCGCAGTTAGAAACACAGGCTTTTGACTCTTCTTAATCTGATGATTGAGAATGGGGATTTCTCAATGGGCCTTCAGTCCTGCCTCACCCAGGACCTGGGTTCAACAGCCCACCCTGGTAGGCAATTGTGCAGGCTAAGGCAGATGATGCCCTAGGCAGCAGTGGGCTCTGTGTAGTGATTAAAACAATTGCAGCAGCTGCAGCTGCCGTGTACTGAGAGACGACTGCTGTTTTCCATCCGTTTTCTCATTTAATCCTATAGCAGCACTTTTCTCATGAGGAATATTCCCAGAACCTGCCAAGGTCTCCCAGCTAGTCATGGAGCAGGTGGAGCCAGGAACAAGCCTGTCCAGGTGCCCACAACTCATTGTACCGCCCTGGGGACCAAATATAGCTTCTAACCCAAAGGGCTGCTGTGAGCACCAAGGAAATCATGTGGGTGCATGTACCAGCTACACTAAGCAGAGGTCTTGTGATGGTTATGTATTAGGAAGGAGGACATGAGTTCTAAGCTCACTAGCTTTCTTTTCTCCCAATGCAAACCCCTCCCGATTAACTTGGTTCTTCAGTTGGAAATGTTTGCAATGGGAGTTGCTGATGAAGAAACTTGCTTTCGTGATGGGCTGGCTGATTGATCAAAAAGACCATACGGGATTCTGTTTTCCCCAAGTAGGAACTGCCCCGGCTCTTCAAGCTTCATTAAGTTTTAATTTAATCATTGCCACTTTGCACTGGAATTGTGTTTTATGAGCACATTACCAGAAGTTGAAATCTTGTAAAACAGAAATTTTTGAAATAAAAATAAAAGGAGACTTAAGTCCATTACTATTGGCAAAATGGGAAATGGAGGCGACTTGGTAGCAATGTGCATGCTATAATGTGATTGTGCTGGCTGCTGGTTTTCATCCAGGCCTTCATCTGCAGCTCCAGTCTGAGCCCCATGGAAAGGGGTCACCTGGGTTTGCCCCAGCCACATGAAACTGTGGAGTGATTTTGGAAGCCTACCTTGACAGACATAGCCCACCTGAGCTTGTGTGGCCTTCTTGAAGTGTGCTGAGCCTCCAAACCATCAAATGAAGCTTCTAGCCCCTAGGGCTCTGGTCTTCAGCCCCCTGCTCACTTCCCACTCCTCGTTACCACAAAACCACAAAAACAAACCGACAAACCTAAATACTGGCCACCTTGTGTGAGCCAACAAGGCCTTCACCTCTCTGAGCATTCTTGATGTATGTGAGGAGATCAGTGTGTGGGACTTGAGCAGTCAGGAGATGCCATGGACAAAGGGGACCTCGGATGGAACTGTGGGTGGCCATGCGGCCAGAGGGCAGGTCAGGGTCCAGGTCTGTGCCGGGTGGGGAGCTAGAGGTCAGAGCTCTAGATCTGGTCTCCATCCTCCTCCTTTGGGGCTTAGTTTTTCTCCCTGCAAGGGCACCTTCAGGAGGAGTTGGGCTCATTGTACCCATTGCTGATCCTCGTGGTTCTTTATTGCCCTGTTAAAATGCTGTTTCAACTGGGAGGCCTTTAGACTGGGATGGCTGCAGCACTGTGAGTTCCCATGTAAACAAACTGAAGCCCAATGTAGACAGAAAAATGAAACTAGAGACTTCACCAATCACAGAGCACCGGAGGCTGAGGTGAGTGGTGACTGCAGCCAGTGAAAGGAAACAGAAGAAGATGGGGAGCTGGGGTGAAGGTGGGAAAGGGAAAGCCAGAGGCCCTGAGGGCCCAGCACCAAGAGTTTTCATAAAGGGACTTAGGTGGGGCAGCCCCAATTTCCCATAAAGTGTGTAATTTGGCCAGGCATGGTGGCTCACGCCTGTAAATCCCAGCACTTTGAAAGGCTGAGTTGGGAGGATCACTTGAGCTTGGGAGTTTGAGACCAGCTGGGCAACATAGTAAGACCTCAGCTCTACTAAAATCCAAAAAAATTGGCTGAGTGTGGTGGCACGCACCTGTAGTCCCAGCCATGTTGGGGGCTGAGGAGGGGGGATCGCTTGAGTCCAAGAAGTTGAGGCTATGATGAGCTCCAATCATGCCACTGCACTCCAGCCTGGGCAGGAGAGTGAGACCCTGTCTCAAAAAAAAAAAAAAAAATAGTGTATCACTCAATGTTTTGTAGTATATTCACAGATATGTGCAACCATCATTTCAGTCTATTTTAGAACATTTTACCACCCTCAAACAGAAACTCCATACCTTTAGCCATCACCCACTGCTCCTCTATTCCCTACTCCACCACCAGCCCTGAGCAACCTTTAATCTGCCTTCTATCTCTGTATGTGGCCTTTACTGGCTGGCATCTTAGCATACGGTTCTCAGGGTTCACCTCTGTTGTAACCTCTGTCAGTACTTCACTCCTTGTATGGCCAAACAAATTCCATTGCAATAATAGATCACAATTTGTGCGACCACTCATCAGTTGGTGAACATTTGGGTTGTTTTCCTCTTGGGTACTATGAATAATGCTGCTATAAACATTTGTGTGCAACTTTTTGTGTAAACATGTATTTTTATTTTTCTTGGGGATGAACCTAGGAGTGGAATTTCTGGATCTTATGGTAACTGTATGTTTAATCATTTGAAGAGCTGCAAGACTATTTTTCAAAGTCGCTGCTCCACTTTACCTTCCCAGCAGCTCTGTGTGTGGATTGCAGTTTCTCCATATTCTGTCTTTTTAATTCTAATCATCCTAGTGAGTCTGAAGTGGTATCTTATTGTGGTTTTGGTTAGCATTTTCCTGATGACTGATGATGTTGAGCATCTTTTCATGTGCTTTTTGGCCATTTATATATGATCCTTGGAGAAATGTCTATTCAGTTACTTTGCCCATTTTTAATTAGGTTGTCTTTATCATACAACTGTAAAAGTTCTCTATAAATTCTGGTTACAGGTCCCCTGTCAGTTATATGATTGTAAACATTTTCTCCCATTCTGTGCATTCTTTTTATTTTCTCAGTGGTGTCCTTTGAACCATAAAAGTTTTTTTTTTTTCATTTTAATGAAGTCTAATTTTGTTGTTCTTGCTCATGCTTTTGATGTAATATGTGGGAATACTTTGCCAAATTTAAGTTTCTGAAACTTTACTCCTCTGTTTTCTTCTAAGGGTTTGGTAGTCTTAGTCCTTACATGTAAGTTTTTGATCCATTTTGATATAATCTTTGTATAGGTGTGAAGTCATGCTCCACCTTCATTCTCTGGAATGTAGTTCTCCAGTTTTTCCAGCACCGTTTATTAAAAAGACAATTTTGTCTCCATTGGATGGTCTTGGAGCTTCGTCAAAAGTTATCTGATGGTAGATGTTTAGGTTTGCTTCAGGAGCATCAATTCTCTTCCTTTGGTCTGTGTGCCCATTGTTTTGTCAGTACCACACAGTCTTGTATAAAGTTGCTTTGTGGTAAGTTTCAAAATTAGAAAGTGTGATTACTCATACTTTGTTTTTCTCTTTCAAAGTTGTTTTGGCTATTCTTGCCATTCCATGTGGATTTTAGAATCAGCTTGTCAGTTTGTATAATAAAGTCAGTTGAGGTACTGATGGCGATTGTGTTGAATCTGTAGATCACTTTGGGGAGTATTGCCGTCTTAGCAATTTTAAGTCTTCCGGTCCATAATCATGGGATGGTTTACCAACTATTTAGTCCTTCTTTAATATCTTTTAAAAATGTTTTATGGTTTTCAGAGTTTGTATTTCCCTTCCTTTTGTTAAATTTGTTTACAATACTGTAATATTTTAATAATACTGTAAATAGATGTTTTCTTTATTTTTGGATTGTTCATTGCAATTATATAGAAACTTAATTGATTTTTATGTATTGTTCCTGTGCTCTGCAACCTTGATGAACTTGTTTATCAGGTCTAATTTTTAAAATAAACTTTATTTTTTAGAGCAGTTTTAGGTTCACAGTAAAAGTCAGCAGGAGATCGAAAGATTTCCTACACACGCTCTTCCTCAGCACATGCATGGCCTCCCTAATATCTACATCCCCGACTAGAGCGGTCCATTTGTTACAGTTGATTAACCTACATTGACAAATTATTATCACCCAGGCTCATAGTTTACGTTAGGGTTCACTCTTAGTGCTGTTCATTCCATAGTTTGGACAAACGTATTCACCATTATAGTATCATCACAGAGTAGTTTCACTGCCCTAAAAATCCTGTGTGCTCTTCCTACTCAACCCTCTTGCCCCCGAATCCCTGGCAACCATGATCATTTTACTCAATACATAGTTTTACCTTTTCCAGAATGCAATATAGTTGGAATCATACACTGTGTAGCTTTTTCAGATAACCTTCTTTGACTTGGTAATATACATTAAATTTTCCTTCATGTTATTTCATGGCTTTATCATTCATTTATTTTTAGCTCTGAATAACGTTCCATTGTCTGGTTACACCACAGTGTATTTATCCTTTCATCTACTGAAAGACATCTTGGTTACTTCTAAGTTTTGGCAACTATGAATACAGCTATTATAAACAGCCATGTGCAGGTTTTGTGTGAACGTAAGTTTTTACCTCCTTTAGGAAAATACAAAAGAGCATGATTGCTGGACCATATGTTAACAGTATGTCTGGTTTTTAAGAAATCACTGAACTGTTTTCCAAGGTGGCTGTACTATTTTGCATTCCCACCAGCAATGAGTGAATGAGGTTCCAGTTGCTCCATATTCTTGCCAGCATTTGTTGCTGTCAGTGTTCTGAATTGTAGCCATTCTAATAGGTTTATTGCATTGCTGTTTTCATTTGCATTTCTATGATGTGGTGCATTTTTTCATCTGTTTCTTTGACATTTTGATAATTTTCTGGTGAGGTATCTGTTAGAGTCTCTGGGCCATTTTTTAATTGGGTTGATTTTGCTGTTATTTTTGAGTTTAAGAATTCTTTTTATATTTTAGATAACAGTTTTTAAACTAACATGACTTTTGCACATATTTTCTCCCAGTCTGTGGCTTGTCTTTTCATTCTTTTGACAGTGTCTTTTGCAGGTCAGAAATTTTTATTTTAACAAAGCCTAGCTTATCAATTGTTTCTTTCATGTACTGCTTCTTTGGTATTTCATTAAAAAGTCATCACCAAAGCCAAAATCATCTAGTTTGTCTCCTATTTTATCTTCTAGGAGTTTCATAGTTTTGCATTTTACACTTAGGTCTGTGATCATGTGAAGTTATTTTTTGCAAAGGATGTTAGCTCTGTGTGTGTGTGTGTGTGTGTGTGTGTGTGTGTGTGTGTATATAGTTTTGTATGTGGATGTCCAGTTGTTCCAGTGCCATTTGATGAAAAGACTGTCTTCACTACACTGTATTGTCTTTGCTCCTTTATCAATGATCTGTTGATTAAATGTATATTGGTCTATTTCTGGACTCTCTATTCTATTCCATTGATCAACTGTCTATTCTTTTGCCAATATCACACTGTCTTGATGACTGTAGCTTTATAGCAATTCTCCAAATCAGATACTGTTAGCCCTCCAACTTTGTTATTCCCCTTCAATATTGTGCTGGCTAGTCGGGGTCTTTTGCCTGTCTATACAAACTTTAAAATCAATTTGTCAACAGCCACAAAATACATTGCTAAGATATTTATTGGTATTGTGTGAATCTATAGATCACATTGAGAAGAACTTGTATCTTTACAATATTGAGCCTTCATATCCACAAATATGAAATATCCCTCCATTTATTTAGTCCTTTTTTGATTTCTTTCAAAGGGTTTCATAATTTTCCTCATGTAGCTCTTCTGTATATTTAGTTAGATTTATACCTAAGTATTTCATTATTTTGGATGCTAGTGTAAATGGTATTGTGTTTGTAATTTCAAATTTCATTTGTTCATTGCTGGTGTGTAGGAAAATGATTGACTTTTGAATCTTACCCTTGTATTCTTCAACCTGCTGTAATTGTTTATTAGTTCCAGGAATGTTGTTGTTGGTAGTGTTAATTCTTTTAGATCGTCTACCTAGACAAAAAGGGAGTTTTATTTCTGCCTTCCTGATTTGTATATATTTTATTTCTTTTCCTTGTCTTATTGCATTAGCTAGGACTTCTAGCATAATGTTGAAAAGCAGTGGTGAAGTTGGGTGTGGTGGTTCATGCCTGTAATCCCAGCTCTTTGGGAGGGTGAGGCAGAAGGAGTACTTGAAGCCAGGAATTCAAGACCAGCCTGGGTAACATAACAAGAGCTTGTCTCTAAAATTTTTTTAAAAAACTTAGCCAGGTGTGGTGATGCATGCCTTTAGTCTTAGCTACTCAGAAGGCTGAGGTGAGAGGATTGCTTGAGTCCAGGAGTTCAGAGTTACAGTTAGCTATGATAGTGCCACTGCACTGGAGCCTTGGTGACAGAGAAAGACTCTGTCTCAAAAAAAAGGAAAAGAATGAAGGAGGAAAAAGGAAAGGAAAGGAAAAGGAGAGGAGGGGAGAAGAGAAGAAGGAAAGGGGAAAGGAAGGGGAAGAAAAGGGGAAGGGAAGGAGAAGAGAAGAGGAATAGAAAGGGAAGGAAAGGGGAAGGGAAGGAGAAAGGAAGGGAAAAGCAATGGTGAGAGGGGACATCCTTGCATTGTTTCTGACCATTAAGTATGATGTTAGTTGTAGGATTTTTGTTGATGTTCTTTATCAAGTTGAGGAAGTTCCTCTCTATTCCTAGCTGGCTGAGAATTTTTGTTATGAGTAGGTATGAAATTTTGTCAAATGTTTTCTCTGTATCTATTGATATAATCATGTGATTTTTCTTTAACCTGTTGATGTGATGAATGACATTATTGATTTGCAACTGTTGAACCAGTCTTGCATATCTGGAATAAATCCTACTTGATCATGTTGTATAATTATTTTTATATGTTTTCGAATTTAATTTGCTAATATTTTGTTGGGGATTTTTGCATCTATGTTCATGAAAGATATTGCTCTGTATTTTCGTTTGTTGCAATGTCTTTGTCTGGTTTAAGTATTAGGGTGATAATGGCCTCACAGAATGAGTTAAGAAGTATTCCCTCTCCTGTGTTCTAAAAAAGATTATAGAGAATTGGTATAATTATTTATTAAGTGTGAGGTAGAATTCACCCATCTGGGTTTAGTGCTTACTGTTTTTGGTTTTTCATTGTTGGTTCCATATATTTAATACATATAGGCCTATTTAGATTGTCTGTTTCTTCTTCTGTCAGTTTTGGCAGGTGGTATTTTTTTTAAGGAATTGGTCCATTTCATCCAGGTTATCACAGTTGTAGGCATCAAGTTGTTCATAGTATTTCCTGATTATCCTTTTGAAGTCTATGGGATCTGTAGTGATGTCCTCTCTTTCATTTCTGATATTAGTAATTTGTGTCTTCTCATTTTTTTCTTAGCCTGGCTAGTAGCTTATTGATTTTGTTGATATTTTTGGAAAAAAAAAAGCTTCTGGATTCATTGATTTTCTGTGCTAATTTCCTGTTTTTAATTTCATTGATTTCTCTAAACTTTTTATTATTTAGTTTCTTTTCCTTGCTTTAAATAACTTTGCTTTTTTTCTTAAGGTGGAAGTTTGGGTGATTGATTTTAGTTCATTCTTCTTTTCTAATATATGTGTTCAATGCTACGACTTTCTTCTAAGCACTATTTTTATAGCTTACAAATTTTGATAAGCTGATTTTAATTTTGATTTTACCATTTTCTCAGCTTAATACAGTTTGCTTTCACCTACCTCTTTTATGCTGTCATAGGCAAACATATTACATATATATTATACTTCTTTATGTTATAGGCACAATGATACATTATATGCACACTATTTAATATAATTGCTTTTTATTATTCATTTTTTATTTTTTAATTTTTTAGATGGAGTCTCATGCTGTTGCCCAGGCTGGAGTGCAGTGGAATGATCTTGACACACTGCAACCCCCACCTCCTGGGTTCAAGTGATTCTCTTGTATCAGCCTCCCAAGTAACTAAGATTACAGGCTCACACCACCATGCCTGGCTAATTTTTGAATTTTCAGTAGAGATGGGGTTTTACCATGTTGGCCAGGCTGGTCTCAAACTCCTGACCTAAAGCAATCCACCCACACTGGCCTCCCAAAGTGCTGGGATTACAGGTGTGAGCCACCACACGTGGCCACAATTGTTTTTTAAATAAGAGAAGAAAGGAGAAAAACACATATTCCTGCCTTCCTGTAACCTCCGATTAATTCATTAGGATCATGTTATTCACGTGGGTCATATGTCATGTTTGGAATTGTTACACGTGATTCAAGGGCAGAAGGGTGGCCACCTTCATATGAGTCTTTGAGTTCTACATGTTTTTAGTCATCATCTCATTTGGCTCCTGTACATACATGTGTTACAGAAATTGGTGTCTTTGTCAATCAAGTCTGGTGAGAGGGAGATTGCACACTCAGTGGAGGTAATTCAAATGACTTTAACACAGGGGATATTTCCAAAATAGGGAGAATGTGTCAGAGAACAAAAGGATAATGCCATACTCTGTGACTAGAATATTATGGTGTCTTTACCTCCTCCAGTCCTGAAGAGGTAAATGTGAGAAGTTTATTTTGATGTCTGAAGTGACTCCATTAATTCTGCTTATTTCTTTGGTCCCTATATGCTACTTTTTGAGAATTTCAGGAGTAGAGAATCCAGAGGCCTGTACCAGGGGTCCACAGACCTGGGTCTTCATTTCGTCCCAACTACTGATCTTCAGCATGACCCCAGAAAGGCTGCTCACCTCTCTCCCTTGGCAAATCCAAGGCATCTTGAGAAGCTCCACACAAAAGCCACAGGGTTGGCAACGTTTGCCCAGAGGCCTTTGAGCAGGTTCTAGAACAGAATTCTGTGGTGACAAGTTCCTTTTCTGATGTAAACTATGGAGCCTTAAACCAGAAATTGCACATTCACTCCTAAAAACAGATACACACACACACACACACACACACACACACACATATATATACACACATACATATATATATACACACACATACATATATATACACACACATACATATATACACACACACATACATATATACACACACATACATATATACACACATACATATATATACACACATACATATATACACACATACATATATACACACACATATATATACACACATACATATATACATACACATACATATATACACACATACATATATACACACATACATATGTACACACACATACATATATACACACACATATATACACACACACATATATATACACACACATATATACACACACATACATATATATACACACACATATATACACACACATACATATATACACACATATATACACACACACATATATATACACACACATATATACACACACATACATATATATACACATACATATATACACACACATATATACACACACATACATATATACACACACATATATATACACACACATACATATATACACACACATACATATATATACACACATATATACACACATACATATATACGCACACACATACATATATACACACATATATATACACACATATATACACACATACATATATACACACACGTACATATATACACACATATATATACACACACATACATATATATACACACACATATATACACACATACATATATATACACACATACATATATACACACACATACATATATATACACACACATATATATACACAGACACATACATATATATACACACACACATATATACATATATATTATGTAAATATTTTAAAATATATGCTTCTATATATTATAAATATATATTATTCAGGAGACTCAAGTCCATAGACTCAAATCTATACTCACTCCTCTCCCCAACACATACAAACACAACTGTGGGAGTTCAGAAAAAAAGAAAAATCACTTTATTCACACACAAAAAAAAAACACAACTGTAGGAGTTCAGGAAAAAAGAAAAATTCACTTAATTTGAGGAGAGTAGCCATTTTGGCAGGACTTGAAGATAGTTTCTGAGTGCACAGAGAAGGGAAATTTGCAGGCAAGGGGATGGGAGGTGATAAGTAGGGTGACCACATAATGCACTCTAAAAACTGAGAGTGAAAGGGCCCACTCTGGGTAATTACACTCAGATGCAATCTGGACTATCAGGATCCTAAAGGGGCACATGTGTGTTCTCTGCAGAAGCAGCTTTGCTTGTGTGGTAGAGTGTGTGGGAAAATAGTATCCTCTCTGTTGAGAAATATTCTTGATCTCCATATTAGAAGAGGCTGTGCTTCTCTCAGGAAAAATAAATAATCTTGTGGACACCATGAAAAATATTCAGATTCCCATCTTTGCTGTAGCTTCTAGAAATCTTGGAGCCAAAGGTGGGCCAACACACAGGAAATACACAGGAGTATCCAGATACGAGCTCCACAGGCTTTGTATTCCACACCTAATTTCCCTCCTACCCTTCCCTTAGGTTTCCTACCCTTATTTTCTCTGTGTACATCTTTTTTATCCCAATAATTTAAATTTTAATTTAACTCGTTGAACTATGTGCATGTTTATTGGCTGCCTTAAATTGTTTCACGAATAAGTCAGGCTATAAACAAGTACATAAATGAGGCAGACAGGCTAGTGGATAAATTATAAGACTAATAATGGATTTTGACCTCATTTTACAAGGTTGCCACAATACTACCTTGTGGATCTGTCTACAGTGAAAGACAGACAA
Source organism: Homo sapiens (assembly GCF_000001405.40). Lineage (NCBI taxonomy): Eukaryota > Metazoa > Chordata > Mammalia > Primates > Hominidae > Homo > Homo sapiens. Next base: position 52,766 of record NT_187581.1, on the reverse strand, counting down.
AGAATTTTGACTTATTAAGTTCTATAATCAAGGAACTGTGCTTGCTGTTTTTCTCATTATTCTGCTTAATCCACACAGCAACCCATGAGTTGGATATTCATTTCCCTAAGTTACAAATGAGAGCACCAAAGCAGTATATAATCTGGTTAAAAACAGCAGGCTTTGAAGTCAAAGAAACCTGGATTCAAAACCCAGCTCTCACACTCACTAGCTTGACCAGCCTAAGTTCCACTCACTTCTGTGAGACTCAGTTTCGGTCTGCATAAAATGGGGATACTGTTCTCCCTATTTTGAGGATTGTTCTGAGAGTTTAATTGCATGCTAAGTTTTTCTCCCTTCCACAAGATCACATCACTAAGTGGTGTCAGGATGTGAGTCCACTCTGTGCCCCTACCCTCCCTTTCCATAATTGCACTAGATTCCAGAAATCACGCCACAGCAATGAGACCCAGGACCAGTGAATTGTAAGTGCCAGCCCTACTGCATAATTGATGAATTTATTGCAAAGTATTTATGGGGCACGTACTATGGACTGAGCAACACTGGCTGACCTGACTGTCCTAACTCCCTCAGTGCCAGATGTTTTGCACATCCTCCCCAAAGAGGCGTGGGGTGGGCAGTGGCATTAAGATAGGACTTTGCTTCAGCAAAGAGATGATCCCTCCTAATTCCTAGGGGAAGCTAGACTGTTTTCCAATCCAGAACCTCAGAAATCATATCATAGACCAGTAGATTGTCAGCTCATTTATTGCACCTGTGGTGGTTAATACTGAGTGTCAACTTGATTAGATTGAAGGATACAAAGTATTGATCTTGGGTGTGTCTGTGAGGGTGTTGCCAAACGAGTATTGATCCTGGGTGTGTCTGTGAGGGTGTTACCAAACGAGTATTGATCCTGGGTGTGTCTGGGAGGGTGTTACCAAACGAGTATTGATCCTGGGTGTGTCTGTGAGGGTGTTGCCAAACGAGTTTAACATTCAAGTCAGTGGGCCGGGAGAGGCAGGCCCACCCTTCATCTGGTTGAGAACAATCTAATCAGCGGCCAGTGCGGCTAGAATATAAACAGGCAGAAAAATGTGAAAAGATCCTGGCCTAGACTTCCCACCTACATCTTTCTCCTCTGTTGGATGCTTCCTGTCCTCGAACATCGGACTCCAAGTTCTTCAGTTTTGGGACTTGGACTGGCTCTCCGTGCTCCTCAGCCTGCAGATGGCCTATTGTGGGACCTTGTGATTGTGTGAGTTAATACTTAATAAACTCATATATATATATATATATATATATATATATATATATATATATATATGTGGAATATATATATAGTATATATAATATATATAATATTCCATTAGGTCTGTCCTGCCAGAGGACCCTAATACAACCTGCATTTGTGGAACACACACTGTGTAGTAAGCAGGCCCCTAGGGAGCAGGTGTAAGGGGATATGTCCTAAATCCAGATGCCTCCTGGGCTACTTCCCACTTCACAGCTGCAGGAATAGATGTTTTTTCAGGGAGAGTTTTGGGACGAGCAAAGATCTGAAGACTCCCAAGGGTATTCCTCACCTCTTCTGGGCTACTTCGTTCTGATCATTAACTCCTCCAGGTCACGGCCTCCCGCTCACTCCATGCTTCCTGCTCGTTACCTCCCTTCTGGGAGGTGTGTGTGTTTCTACCTCAGAGGCAGCTGGAATAGTCACTTATGGCCTCATTTGGTGTGGTTAATTGGTGGAAATGATGATGCCTCTCATTAGTGAGCACCCAGCAGCCCTGGAGCATCAGAGGAGAGGGGCAGGAAAGTCTGAGGCTGAAGCAGGGGCACCTGGCCACTGGATCATGTCTACAGTTGACTTGTTGCTAGAAGTAGGAGGGGATCCTTCATCTCTGCAGTCTCCCAGTTACTGGGGAATGGCTGTTACCAACTAGCGAGAGAGTGAAGATTAGAGCATGGAGTTTAATTAGGAAATCCACTGGAATAGTTCTCACACATGCCAGCCACTCAGGAGTCTCTCTGTGTGTCTTCCACTCCCTACTCTACCTGTGCACTACCTACACTCAGAAACCTCTGTCTGGGAGAAGCCTCCGTGCTCTGAGTAGAATGCAAAGGGGAAGATTCAGAGACCATAATCCCCTCAACTGCAGAAGGGCTGGAGTATGCAGAGCTCAGCTGAGGATTCAACAAGGTGGGAAGGAATGGCCTGTGTGTGTGTGGATGTGTGCACATCCCTGGTGGTGAGCAGCCACTCATGCCATGCCTGGACCTTGCAGAGCTCAGGTTAGGTCAGAAATGGTCAGCAAACAAGATGAATGTGCAGAACAGGCCCAGGTGTAGCTCCGAAGTGTGCATTTAGCCGATTTCTTTGTGAGGATCTGTGAGCAGAGAGCGAAAAAAGTCATTCCTTGATCAAGGGATCCCTCAGTTCAAGTACAGGAGACACCACTCATGCCGTGCAGGAAGTTCCGGGTAATGAAGGCAGCATGGAGAAGGGGATCATTACATAGAGGGTGGGAGAGGTCCAGGAAGAACAGAGGGAAGGGGATGCTCCATGTGAGTTCCTGGGGCAGCAGAGGAGAAAAGGGCAGCCTGGACAGACGAGGGGCCTGGTTGGGGGGCAGGAGGCTCTCATTACAGCTGGGGTTCCAAGTGGTCCAAGATAAAACTGGAAACATCCTCAAGTATGAAGAGGCCGAATGACTCATTTAAAATGTTTTTGACTTTCATTTTTCAGCCACCAGGTTCACCTGAAGTGGCCTCAGCCCTGAAAGCAGGGATTTGCTCTCTAGCCTGAGTCATCCTTCAGCTTCTTCCAGATCACTGTGGGCTCAACCTCAAAGGAAGATGCTCGTGGCTGATGCCACCAAGACCAGGAGGGAAGCACGTGTCCCAAAGTCCCTAAGTGGTTGGCAAGCTTGCCGGTGGCAGGGCAGACTTCCCCATGGAAAAAGAGCCTCCCAGGGCAGCATCTGTAGCTCCAGTGCTGCTGACCAAGGGCTGGAGATGGCTGCAGTGTCCTGAAATGGACATTGAGGAAACCCTCTGCCCCCTTGTCCCTGGGGAGAGGGGCTGCCTGAATGCTGTGGCATGGGTGGGTAGGGGAGAGGCTTCTCAGCAAAGCTAATGAAATTTCAGAGTAAATTTCCCCCCACGACTGTATTTCGTTCCAGAGCCATTAGGATGCTGCTTCCATTCTTTCCATGCCAGTGGCACCTCTGCCTCATTTGCATGTCCTGCGAGCTCCTCCGCTCTGGTGCTGAGAAATTGCTCTGTCAGTAAAAGATGCTTTGAAAGGAATCAGCATAAAGCCATTTGCCAAAGCCAGACAAGGAACCGTCTGGTTCCTCTTCTCCACTCATCAGGGCCCTCCCCAGGCAGGGAGCTCTTTGGGAAGTCGAAGTGCTCACCACTCACACCAGTTAACCCCGGATTGATGTAAGATAGGGTCGCTTTTAAATAAATCAAACACAATCAAAGCACAGAGATCCAAAAAGGCCCACAGCTGGGAGCTGTGTACCTAGGGAGGCCCCTGTAAGGTCAGACTTAGAAGAAGGAGCTCAGGCTTGGTGTCAATTGTCAGAAACAAAATGAGTTCAAGCCCTACCTCAGCAACTCACTGGAGGTGTGAAATTCCCTGATTCTTCCTTTCCTCATCTATAAAGTGAGGATGGCCATTTCTGTCCCCTTTGCATTGCAGAATTACTCAGGATCAATTGAGAGAATGTAGAGCTGAGTAAACTGCAAATTCTGCAACAAATACTGAGTATCAAATGAGTTTGAATCCTAGGTGTACTGCTGGTGGGCTGTGTAGTCTTAAATGATCTCTTTATTTCTCTGTGCCTTGGTTTTAATGCAAATAAACATTACTAGTATAAATATTTGATAAGGATAAGTGCATAATATATGTGGTACCTGGTTCATGCTCAGTGATTTGTACATATTTGCTGTTGTCACTGTTGTTGTTATCGTCATGGTCCTGAAGACAGAAATTCCTGCCAGCCCCTCCCTCTAGTAGCTTATGGTCCCCAAGTCATCATGGGTGCAGGATCCTAGCACTTCCTTCCTGGTATATTGATGGCGTCACACGATGCTGGAATTGAAAGGGACAGTAGTAATCTACCACCTACACTGTGCCAGGTTGTGTGCTAATCCTCTCAGCAACATTTTGAGATCCGGTATTATCAACTCTGTTATAAATGAAGAAACTCTCTCAAGAAGATCAACAAAAAGACACAATGACCTAGTGCAGAGACACAGAGATAAGAATTGCAGAAAGTAGCTTCAATCTCCAGGGCAGAGAATAGCATAGAGATAAGCTGGGGTGACTAGAACCTAGAAGGGTGAAGGAGGCACCTAGCAGAGCTGGCTGGGCTCTGCCTTCTGAGGCTGAGGCTGTGCCGCACCTCTGGGGCTCAGAGGAGGGACCATGAGGGTTGAAACCCACCTCTGGGGAGGGTATGCTTGTCCCTCTGAAGAAGAGTGAAGAGACTGGCCCTGGGAGAGCTGGTAGGAGCAGGAGACCAGGACCCGTGGCTACTGCAGGCAGCCACTGCTGAGGGACCACCTGCAACTCCTGGAGGGAAGAATTAACTCTGGGCAGAGCTGGCAGGGCGGCAGCTGAAAAGGAAGGACCAAAAGCAAGCTAGCAAAGGAAGAAGGTTATTGGCAGAGCTCTGTCCCCAGCATGACATCACAAAGTGGCCTGGAGCAAGGTTGGTTTAAAGCTGCCAGTTGAGAGCTTAGCAACTGCAGTCCCACCTCGGCTGCATAGCGGCCAGGCAAATCAAATGACCACTAGGAAGTTCAGTGAGCAACAGTAACACCCTGAGGCATTCTCCAGGCAAGATGCAATATCCCTTCATAAAATGAAGATGCACTGATTCTCACCTCAAAATGGGACTTAAAATGCAAAATAATCATCGTCTTCACATTTGATGACAGCTCAGGTATCCATCTCTGAGTGATGTTAGTTATTCTCAAATTTAGTCAAAATAATCTGAATATCATTTAATCTATAGACTAAATTATGAAAAAAATAAAAACTTGTAACCCAAATGCTTTTTTAAAATAATTAGGGAAGAAACAGGAGAGGATGAGAAATTTGTAAATAAATACATTATGTACACACAAACACACACACCACTCAAATGAGGTATATGTTGCTTCCAAAATGCAAAAATATTACCAAGAGCAGTCTGCCATGTGTACTGGTCTCTTTATGGTTTTTTGTGTGTTTGTTTGTTTGTTTTGAGATGAAGTCTCGCTCTGTCACCCAGGCTGGAGTACAGTGGCACGATCTTGGCTCACTGTAACCTCCTTGAACTCCCAGTTTCAAATAATTCTCCTGCCTCAGCCTTCTGAGTAGCTGGGATTACCCGCATGCCACCATGCCCTGCTAATTTTTGTATTTTTAATGGAAATGGGGTTTCACCATTTTAGCCAGGCTGGTCTTGAGCTCCTGGCCTCAAGTGATCCACCTGCCTTGGCCTCCCAAAGTGCTGGGAATACAGGCGTGAGCCACTGCGCCCAGTGTGCCCATTTATGTATTTATTATTATTATTATTATTTTAGTAGTAGGTCATGCAAAATGATCTAACTTGACTTTCACCTTGAAGATGAGGCGACAATGTACTTCAGCACTGTAGATGCTCAGGAAGTACATGCAGTGTCAGGCCCATGATTTTTTTAAGCCTTCTTATTTTGAGATAATTTTAGACTTTCATAAGAGTTGTGAAAACAGTAGACAGAATTCCCATACACTTATCACCCAGCTTCGTCTTATGTCATCAATTTACATAGCAACAGGAGAAATATCAAACCTAGAAAATTAACCTTTACCTAACACTATTGTTTAAACTAACGAACATATTTAGATTTTATCAGCTTTTCAGTTTGCACTGTTGTCAGTTTTTTCCATTTCAGGATCCAGGATCACACATTTCACAGTTGTTATGTCTGTAAGTGTCCTCCAATCTGTGATGTTTTCTCAATCTCCCTTTACTTCATAACCTTGACACTTTTGAAGAGTACTGGTTAGTTATTTTACAGACATCCCTCCGTTTGAGTTTGTCTGGAGTTTTCCTGTGATTAAATAATGTGGTGTGCAGTCTTTCTCAGAGCAATGGTATCAGGGATACCTAAAGTCAGTATGTCCTTACTAATGATGTCGACCTTGATTGCTTGGTTAAGACAATGTCTGGTAGGGTTCCATGCTGTAAAGGTGTTATTTTTTTCTTTTTAAGTTGCTAAATGTTCCGGGGGAGATAGCTTTAAGCCATGTAAACACCAGTTGTATCTTAGACTTTTGCCCACTAAATTTAGCATTCATTGGTGGATCTTGCCTGCAGCAATGATTTTTCATCTGTCCCTCCTCTTGTAGCTGAAGATAGCATGGTACTGATAGAAGATTCGGAGCTCAGAACTGTTTTCTCCCCTTCCTCTCAGGGTAGAGGATTTCTCTCTCTCTCTCTCTCTCGCTCTGTCTCTCTCAACAATGAGTCTTTACCAGTACCTTGAGGGTGACAAGATTTGAGAGAGGGGTCTGCGCAGGGGGTCCAGGCTTCCAGACTCCCCACAGCCAAGTTGACACTTCTTCCACACCTGCACCACTGCAGGAGGCTCTCTCTGTGCCTCCACCAACCCCCATCTTTCTCCTGAAAGGCGAGATTCATGAGAAAGAGCCTGCGCCTGTGTGGGTTCCCAGGGCCTCGATGCTCACACTCAGCCTTTATAGGTTTATTAACACCATCGCTGATTTCTCACCCTTTCCTCTTGGCTGCCACCCCTTCCTCCCAGGTTGCACCTTCCTGTTCACCTCTTTTTGGGGCCAAGGAGATTCTCCTCCTTTGCATTCCAGATGAGCTTGTTGCCTCACACCCTCAGCTTTCTGATGGATTTAACACAAGTTTTGGTTTTACGTACAGGCTTTCCAGCTTTCTCTCAAGGCTAGGGTGGGAGAGAGACTCCTTCCACGTCTGCATCTTGGCTCTCCAAGGGCACATGAATTCATTTCCCATGGCTGCCATAAAAATTGGCACACACCGGGTGTATTAAAACAATAAAAATTCATTCTTTCACAGTTCTGGACGCCAGAAACCCCAGATCAAGATGTCAGCAGGCCAAGGCCAGTGCTCCCTCTGCAGGCTCTACGGGAGAAGCTTTCCTTGCTTCCGACAGCTTCTGCTGGCTCCAAGGGTCTCTTGAAGTGTGGCTGCATCATTCCAGCCTCTGCATCTGTGTTCACGTGGACGTCTCATCTGAGTCTTAAATCCTCTGCCTTTCTCTTATAAGAGCACTTTTCACTGGATTTAGGTTTCACTTGGATAATCCAGGATGATCTCATCTCAATTTTTAAAATTTAGTTACGTCTGCCATGACTCTTTCACTAAACAAAACAAGGTCACGTTCACAGGTTCCAGGGTTTTGACGTGGAAAAGTCCTTTGGGGGACTTGTAGCCCCCACATCTGAGAACAGGTTGGGCCTTTGTGTTGGTAACTTCTGTCCCTCAGTGGATATCAGGGAGGAGCACAGCAAGCACTAAACTCCAGGATCCCAAACGGTTTGCTTCCTCCTCAACAGCCTGTGCACAGCAGAGGTCTACACCTCCGTCTCAGCCTTTCCTGTGCAGGTCGCCCTATCTGCCCATTCCTATCCCGGGCAGTCACAGGCCCTGAGGCAAGACACATTCCTGACCTTTGTTCTCACTGCTGGTTTTTTTTTTTTTGAAACTTCTCCTAGATGTCTCCCTGTGTCAGCCTTTCTAGTTATTCCACTATCTGCTCAAACTTTACCTCCTTGGAGGGCCTCCCTGAATACACTGTGTACAACAGCACCTCTGTCCTCACCACTCGCTCTGCCCCCCACTCCTGCTTTGTCTTTGCAGCACTTGTCATTATCTGTCACTATATTCTCTGTGTTTGATATTTACTGGTTGATTGTCTCTTCTCCAATAGAATGTAAGTTCTAAGTGGGTAGGGAATTTGTTTTGTGCATGGCTTTCTATTATATTCAATACTTAATGAAGTGTCCAGGACATACTTGGTGCTCAAAAAATATTCATTGAATCAGCTAATCAATTGATCCATGCCATAGCCAAGTGCATGCCATCCTTCAGAGTGGACACACTGGAAGGTATATGGTCATTTCAATAATGTGAAGATGATGTTAAGATAGTTTAATACTATTTCCCATTTATGGTGCATCTGCTATGGGCAAGAAATATGCACACAAGCTCACACACACACACCATTCTCTATTCATCAAGTGACATTGCAAGGAAAGTCGTTTCATTCTGATTTTGATGTTAAAAAGCCAAAACTTTAAAAAAGTTAAGTAACTCATCCTAAGCCCAGTTTTCCTTGGAATGGGAAATTTATCCTCAGCCTTACATGATGTTATTACCTAGTTTCGATATCAGAGTTATGCTGACCTCCTAAGTTAGGAAGGGTACCTTTTCCTTTATTTTTACGTAATTTTTGCAGGATTGGTATTTTATTTTCTTAAATGCCTGATAGATTTTACTAGTGAAGCCCTCTGAGCCTGGGGCTTTCTTTTGGGAAGATTTTTAATTAGGAATTTAATTTGTTTAACTAACATAAATCTAGTCAAATTCCCTATTACTCTTTTCTATGTGTTTTAGTAAATACCGTTTTTAAAAGTGTCCCTTCCTCTATGTTGCAAAAAAATAATGTGGCATACATTTGTTCATAACATTCTCCTGTTTGTCATTTAATACCTGTAAGGTCTGTAGTCATAGCTCCCTTTTTCAATGACTATATAAATAATCTGTTCCTTCCCTTTTTCTTGATTATATCAGACAGAAAGTTTATCAATTTTATTGAATCTTTTCAAAAGAGTAAGTTTTTAAAAATTTTTCTCTAACATTTGTTTGATATCTGTTTCATTGATTTTGGCTTCTCTCTTTTTTTTTTTTCTACTTTGTTTAATGTGGATTTTTTCTTGTTAACCTAATTAGGTGAAAACTTAGATTGCTGATTTTAATATGTCCTATTTTTACTGTAAACTTTTAAAGTTATATACTTTAAAGTATTGTTTTAGCTGTCTTCCACAAATGTGGATATATGTGGTTTATAATTTAGTTCAAGTGTGTTCTCATTTTCATTATAATTTATTTTCTGACTAGTGAGTTCTTTAGAAATGTCTGGCTTAAATTTTGAATATTTGAGAAATACCTGGATATATTTTTCTTGTTGATTTTCTAATTTTATTTCATTGTGGTCCTGAATAGCCTCTCTGTCATGTGAACCCCATGAAATTTATTGACTTTGTGGCTCAATATATGGTCAATATTGTCACAACATTGTGTCTATGTACTCTCAATTAAAATGTCCATTTTGTGGCTACTGAGTGTCATGTTTTCTAAGTTTTAACTACTGAATGTGATTTCATAATACTCTTCAGAATGTATACATCACTACTCATTTTTAGTACAATAGTTCCATTAATTACTGAGAATGAAAATTAAAATCTCAAGTTGTAATTGTAAATTTTTCTGTCTGCCTTTTCTTGTGTCAGATTTTCTTCATCTACTTTGAAACTTTGTCAGTTGAACATACATTTAGAATTTTTTGTTTTCATGAGTTAACCTCTTATCTTTAGGAGAGGTCTAATCTCTATCTCTACATAATACATTGCCTGAAAGGAATACTTTTACAGATATTAATATAGCTTTTCCAGAATTTTTACAATTAGTGCTTGTATGGTATAGCTTTTCTTTTTCCTTTTCCTTTTAGCACATCAGTATTTATATTTAAAATCCATCTTTTTTAATCAATATATACTCAGGCTTGACTCTTTAACGCAGTATAACAAAACATTTTTAATTTGAGTGTTTAGTCCATTTATATCTAATACAAATATTGATATTGGTCCTTGCAAAATCCTTCTAACTTGACATTGTCCTGAAATATCTAGGCAATCTCAAGGACATATAACATATGAGGTTGGTTGATCAACCCATTTTCAAAGCCCATACTCTAACCCACATCTCTATTACTAGCTTAAACTATAGAGACTAATGAGTCAGATACTGCCTTTTCCAGCTTTTCTTGTACTCAGGAATACTTTTGACCGGACTCTGTATAATTAGAGGTTAAAAAAAATCATTTGAGTTTCTAGGGCAACCTATATTTTTGGTAGGAGTAAGAAACTGAACATAGGCTGGGTGCGGTTGCTCACGCCTGTAATCCCAACACTTTGGGAGGCTGAGGAAGGCAGAGCACGAGGTCAGGAGTTCAAGACCATCCTTGCTAACACAGTGAAACCCCATCTCTACTGAAAACACAAAAAATTAGCCAGGCGTGGTGGTGGGCACCTGTAATCCCAGCTACATGGGAGGCTGAGGCAGGAGAATCTCATGAACCTGGGAGGTGGAGGTTGCAGTGAGTCTAGATCACACCACTGCACTCCAGCCTGGGCAACAGAGCAAGACTCCATCTCAAAAAAAAAAAAAAAAGAAAAAAAGAAAAAGAAAAGAAACGAAACATAAAGCATTATTCCTCCACCTCCTTTTTCTGCATTAATTGTGGACTTAGTGATGTGTACTGTGGCAACCATGCATGACCAAGAGAGAAGGGACAAGAGACTTTTAGGTAGCTGCTCCTAAATCATTGATTCAGCAGCTACCTATTTCCAGACTTCTTATTCTGGAGAAAGATAAACCTACAAGCCGCTGAAAGGATTCTTGACTGATTCACCTACACCCCCTCAAAACTGTTGTTTATTTATTACTCACCATTGCCACCAGTGAGTAAGAGCGGTCTGGATGAAACACTGAGAGGTCCCCTTCTACCTGCCACTGAGTGTCAGCCACCACACAGCAATAAGAACCACTCCCCTCAAGTCCTCAATTCTGTTTCTGAGCCTAACCAGGGTACTTCTTCACTTATGGTAGGGGTTGAGGTGGGAGAAAGGGTCTCCCTCTTTCATTTGAAGGGAGCAGCTCTCACTTCCAATGCCCTGGAAGGGCCTCTTCCTTAGAAAGTGTGAAGATTGACTCTGAGGCAAGAAACGTAATGTTGGCACTGTTCATGTCACATTATGTGTAAATTACAATGCCTCAGCTCTTCCTTCTAGCCTTCCCAGCTTCCATCAGAACCGCACCAGGACCTCTCAGTTGTGCACATTGCCTACAGCCCTCTTGCAAAACAGTTCAGGAGTTAATTTCCCCTCATATCTCTCTGACTCCAGTGTACGCTGCAGCATGCATGCTTTTGCAGAGGGGCACCGCTGACCTTCCTGTATTGAGCTCATCTGAGTCCCTGCGCTAGTCCAGGACCTTCATGTGATGATGTCAGTTCCCCAAGCTTGGAGTTACTTCTTAGACTGCGGAGATGCTCCATTAATATTGGTTAGCTTAAAGAAGTTTGAAATGAAGGCTCATAGAAGTCATTTGCTAAAAGACTTTTTATGTTGATGAAAGATTCTGGGAACTTCTGCCCAGCCTGATTCAGGAGTGCCTCAAAGACCCAGAGCAACATGGAAGTCCAAGTCATGAAGGCAGAGGCTTCCAGGGCCAACCTCTGTTTCAGAAGACTCAGAAACCCAGAAGTGGCTACTTATGATGGCAGAGATCTCCAGGATGCTAATTAGCTGTTGACAGGACCCCACCCCAGCTGGAAATCAGGAGGAGCTGCCAGACTGGTAGTACCATTAGGGCAAAGGGTTGGCAGGCTGCTGTTGATCTGTTCCTTCCAGAAGTGGGCCATGGAGGGTATATGACCATCTACTCCCAGCCCTTGTCCCCTCTCTGGCCTGTGGAACTGCTAAAGTCTTTCTTCATTGAGGGCTCAGAGCAGCTGGGGAGACTCAGTCCTCCTAACTTCAGCTGTTTTTCTCTGTTTTTGTTTTCTGTGCTTATTTGGTTTCAACATTTAGCCAACATTAACCAGTCCTAGCATCTCCCAACAATCAGACACTGCAGTTAGAATCCTCCTAATTCTTTCCTAGCAGGTTGCAGCACAGTGTCCCTGCATACACTGGTCCTCATCTTGCCCATGAGTGATACTCTGATAATTTAAACATCTTCCTGAATTTTTCTCCCATGCTTCAGCCTTAGCTGTGAAGGGCTGAGCCATCTTTTCAAATTCTGCTGTCTCACTGACTTTTGGGGGTTTCTGTTTCCTTCCCCAAGTCCCTGTGCACATAGACCTTGCACACCTTACCCCTGAGCAAATTGTTGCATGAAAGCTCTGGGTCCAGATGTCTACTCATTATTATCAGTGGAGCAGAAAAGTCATGTGCTCTTGGTCCCAATATGTGGAATGCAGGAGAGACGGGGAACCAGATGGGGCTGCCTCTGTCCAGGTCAGGACCCTTTATTATGACATTCTCATTATTTCTCCTTCCTGCTCCAATCTGCCCCAATAAAGCAGCACTATATATACACCTATCTAGTCTTGGAAAACCCCTGCAAAACAAAAGACCCATGAAAGGCATCTGGAGATGAAAAGATAAGGAGAGAAGAGATTCTTGAGGACTTGCCTTCCAGATCCTATGTTTAGGTTTCTACAAGAACTTCAAAAAACTGCCATCAAGCTGTGTGTACTCCACAGAGTATAAATGTGGGGTCATAAAGGTTGAACACAAAGGCATGCTTTTCAAGGCCCAAGGCACTGGTGATACTAATAGGATATTCACCATTTCAGAGAATTGGTGGGTCTCGGCTTCCAAAGGGTCAACTTAGCTTGGCAGTGCAAGAAATGTCACTGTGAGCAAACATATAGCAGAAAACTCAAGTGAACATAATTATTACAGTTATAAAAATTTAGGTCAGCATTTCATATCAATATAGATCCTAGGATGTAGGCAAAAACGAACCCTGAACACATGCAAAGAGAGCAATATAACAAAAGGAAGCAAATTTCCAGCCCTTTCCCTCTCTGTCTCTTTCTCTCTCTCTCTCTCTCTCTCTATATATATATATATACACACACACACCTATATAATATAGTAGATATATATAAAATAGTATACATATACACACACATATATCATGTAATGGATATATATAAAATATTATACACACACACACACATATATATATATAGCTATCAACTTAATGCCAGAGACAGTCCTCTGAGACAAGCACACCCAAAAACTATTGGTGAGAGTATCATAAATTTTTATAACCTTTCTGAAAACAACTAGGCATTTATGTCAAGAACCATAAAAACATTTATATTTTTACCCACAATTATCATATTATTGCACTCAGAAATTATTAGAGATGTTTCAGAATATATTTAAAGTGGGGTTAAATAGAATTAAATGGCATAAAGAAGAGGCTAAAGGGAAATGTTTACATAAATTACAGTGAAACCACAAACTATTTGAAATGGTAATTTCTGCAAATGTTTAATAACAGAAAAAATAACTATAATTAATATTACGTCCAATGAACAGGATACAAAACTATAGATACAGAGTGATCTCAACTACCAAATGCATGTTTATTTTTGTTTGTTAGTATGTTTTTCTTGAGACAGGGTCTTACCCTGTTGCCCAGGCTGGAGTGCAGTGGTGCAATCATGGCTCACCGCAGCCTTGACCTCCCTGGGCTCAAGGATTTCTCCCATCTCAGCTTCTCAAGTAGCTGGGACCATAGGCGCACACCACCATGCCCAAATAATTTTTTAAATTATTTGTAGAGATAAGGTCTCCCTATGTTGCCCAGGCTGGTCTTAAAACTCCTGGACTCAAGCAATTCTCTTGCCTTGGCCTCCCAAAGTGCTGGGATTACTGGCATGAGTCACCATGCCCAGCCTGAAGTACATGTTTTTGCTTTTTGTTTTTGTTTTTGTTTTTTGGAGACAGAGTCTTGCTCTGTTGCCCAGGCTGGAGTGCAGTGGCATGATCTTGGGTTCTGCAGCCTCCACCTCCTGGGTTCAAGCAATTCTCTGCCTCAGCCTCCCAAGTATCTGGGACTACAGGCACATGCCGCCACAGCCAGCTAATTGTTTGTATTTTAGTTAGACGGAGTTTCACCGTGTTGCCCAGGCTGGTCTCAGGCTCCCGAGCTCTGGCAGTCCGCCCACCTTGGCCTCCCAATTGCTAGGAGGACAGGCGTGAGCCACCTCACCGGCCAGTACATGTTCTTTATGATAAAAACTTGATGTACATGCACCCAGCCACTAAGCATCGTCCTCTCTTGGCAAGATTATGCGGGGCTTATTTTCTTCATTATCCTTTAAGAATTATCGGATTTTCTAAAGTATGTGTGCATTATTAAAACTCAACTTACCATTTGGTCTGGAGAAACGACTAACCTCTAAGAATACCCCTAAGGCCATCGAGTAAGAGGACATTCACCATTCTATTGGCAGTGTTCCCAGCTGCATTTTTCAGAAAGATGGGGACAGTCTTCACGTAACCGTTGCGTGTATTGACAAATCATTGACAGAGTCAAGGAGCATGGCACCAAGGCTGGCTGTGTGGAGGCGTTTCTATGAAGGGTGACTAAGCTCTGGCCCTAAGACATCGCTTTGCCTGTTTGGAACGCTCGTGATTGTCATGTGGTTGGCTTTGGTAGAAGGAAGCCAGGTCTCTGCAGTTTCATCTTAACCTGATGATATTGGAAACTCACGACCAATGAATGCCCTGGTCTTCCTGTCTTCAGGTGGAGAGCTCAGTCTCTGACCCCTCAGCTCCACCCCATGCAGTCCGCTCCTGCCACCCTCATCTCCCACATCCCTCCTCCTCCAATTCACTCTCATTTGCTTTATCTCCTTGACAAGGCCTTCATATGCCAAGGGAAGTAAAAAGAAAATTAGCTTTAGTTTAAATTACCTAGAGAACTTCTGACAAGGACTATTTCTGAAAATAAGGCATACACCCTCCCTCTCCCCCAAGCTTGCCCCTCTATTGTCTGTTTATTCAATGCATTTATGTAAACCTTTTGCTGGTCACAGGATATATATGTGCATATTTGTATACATACATGTACTTACATAAACACAAACATATTACTGCAAATAAACATGTTAATCAATAAATGTATGCACATACATCTTACATGTGCAAGCATATACCCACAAACACATACACTTAAAACTGTGCATGTACCTACTCGTTGGCACATCCAGCACATCCAGTGCCCCCTGCATAACAACTTCTACCCTGAGTATATATTTGGAGAAGCTGTAATTCATATGGTGAAAGCCAGTATAGTATTCTGATTAAGAGTTCAGGCTCTAGAATAAGACTATAACAGCTCAAATTTCGACTCTGCCATTTGTTACCTGGAAAATAGTATGTAAACTCTCTGCACTTTTAATATGAGGCTCATTATACTATTATACCATAGGCTTGTTATGAGGCACAACCGAACGAACATATAAAAACCCCTTAGCAGGCTGTGCCACATAGTAAGTGCTCAATAAGTGTTTCCCATATATAGAAACCTTCTGAATGGAGCTTAACATATAACCCATGATGACATGCTTATGGCTCTACTAATGACTCAGTTTACCCCATCTCGTATGCAAGGCCATACATGGTATAATGTGAATCCACAAGTCTCCAAAGCGAGGTCTGCAGTGGAGAGATGTTCTGCTGTCTGACAGCAGGTCCATGGCCCAGCTGAACTCCTCCTCATATGAAGTACAGTCTCTATGAGGTAAAATCAGTGCTAAGAGTTCCAGTGGATGGAAGAGTGACCTTTCTCTAAAGAGCAACTCAGTCACTTTCAATTTTTTAGAGAAGAAAAGTTTTGCTTAGTAAGAGGCCCTCGATGCTGGGAGTCAGAAACTCAATAATAAGCCAAGAATTCTAAAAGCAAATAATCCCATTGAGCAGACCAAACAGATCAGGGATGTCATGTTAACTTTATACTAGAAATCAAATTTATTTATTCTTATTCTAAGAAGAAGGTCAACAACCTCATCTTCAGCAATTCACTTTCATTCAAGAGACATAAGTCTGTAGCCACAGCCATGAAGCCTGGGGAAGAGACCCATAGAGACATAGTGAACAAAACAATCCCTAGAACATGTCATGTTTCAATTTAGTTCTGTAATATATTTTAAACATTCAACAAATAAGCATTTTTCAGTACTGTAGTAGATTTAGACATTTCTGAGGCTAAGGGATGTCTTGCTCCATTAATGAAGAAAAGACAAATATATATATAATTCTCATGCTTTTTATATATCTGTTGGCAGTGGTCTCAAAGGACAATGAACATGCGGAATTATCTATCCCATTAATATGACTTGGAGGATTTTAGATTAGGTCAAACGTCATCTAGAGCTTTGAGGAATTAGTCCTATTTCTCATATTCACAAAAAGTGGACCAAGCCCAATACATTCACCTGCAGAGGGTACGAAGGAGGCCTGGATGGAACAGTGAGGCCTCCTGCCTCCTTCAGCTGGGTGCAGTTCCAGTGGCCTCCCACTGAGGTCTATACTTGTAAAGAAATAATGGCAGCCAGGCATGGTGGCTCATGCCTATAATCCCAGCATTTCGGGAGGCCGAGGCGGGCAGATCACTTGAGGCCGAGAGTTCGAGACCAGCCTGGCCAACATGGTGAAGCCCCATCTCTACTAAAAATACAAAAATTATCCAGGCATGGTGGCATACACTTGTAAGCCCAGCTATTCAGGAGGCTGAGGTGGGAGGATTGCTTGAACCCAGGAGGTGGATGTTGCAGTAAATAAATTGTGCCACTGCACTCCAGCCTGGGTGACGGAGAGAGCAAGACTCTTTCTCAAAAAAAAAAAAAAAAAAAAAAAAAAAAAGTAGCCAGAGGTGGGGGAAAGACATAATGCTTACAGGGAATACGTACATACATATATAGGAATCACATCAGATTTATCCTTAGAAACAAGGGTTTCTTTAGGGTCCAGAGTATACATTTTCAGCCAATCCCAGTCTTCCCTCAATTAATATATTACTTCAGTAATAGTATAAAAGCCATATGACAATATTCTTCTCTCTAACCTTTAAAGTGAGTTGACGATGTTTTGTATTTAACCACATATTTACAGTTCCCTGTAATCTTCAGTCCCTTGTGTTGATCCAGATTTCCAGCTGTTATCATTTTACTTCTGTCAGAAGAATTTACTTTAATATTTCTTGCAATGAAGTTCTCCTAGAATTGAATTCTTTTAGCTTTTATATATCAGGAAATATCTTTGTTTTTGAAAGCTGGTTTTCAAGGGTATGGAATTCTTAGCTGACGGATTATTTTCCTTCAGTAGTTTAAAAATGTTTTTGCATGGGCTTGAGGTGAAGGAAGGAGGGATGACCAGGTGGAGCACACGAGATTTGGGGGCAGTGAGATTATTCTGTATGATCCGTTGACCCTTGAACCATGTGGATTTGACCTGTGTGGATCCCCTTATACATGGATTTTTTTAAAAACAAATATAGTGGGCCTCTGTATTTGTGGGCTCCACATCCACAGCCAGATGCTGATTGAATTTACAGTGTTCTCAGGCAGAAACACCTGCCCATAAGAAAGGCCGGCTTTCTAGACCCCTCGGTTTCCCGGGGCCAGCTGCAGGCTTGAGTGTACATGGTTTGGGTATCAGTGGGAGGACTTGGAACCGATCCTCACAGGTACCAAGACCATGTAATAGCAGATACATGTCATTATGTATTTGTCAAAACCCATAGAATGCATAACACAAAGTGACCCCTAGTGTAAACCATGGGCTTTTGTTAATAACGTGTCACCATTGGCTCATTGCTTGTAACAAATGTACCACATTAATACAAGATAGTCAGGGAAGGTTGAACCATCTTGCATAGTGAAGGAGGTATATGGAAACCCTAAACTTCCCACTCAATTTTTCCGTATGCCTAGAACTGATCTAATAAATAAAAGCTATTAACTTCTGAAAGGGTTTGCACCTTGCCATGATTCCAGAGGGAGTGCTCAGTAGAAGAGCATTTCCCCATCTTGCTGTCCAGCCTGATGAGTTATTTATTGCTAATTCAAAGCTATTGTCAGGACTAATGATCTCTCAAGTTTTCCTCAGGAACTCTCGTGCCTAATATACTTTGGGCTCCTTAAGTTCTTGATCTGATTCTGCTTGTGTAGGGTCTATTCTAACCAAGCTCTTTTTTATCTGTTGCTTGCTTAGTCGTGGATGAGGAGCGCAGGTGCTCCATGTGGAAATGCCCAGAGCTGCTCCCTCCACTTGGTTGTGAGCTCCCCACAGATGGCTATCCTTATGGAGCCCAGTCATCCTTGGTTCTAATTAGCAAATCTGGAGACCTAGTTGATGCTCAGTGACAGCAGTGACATGCTCATCAGTGGATGTGCTTAGTAACACTCACTCCTCGAGTTATCTCTGATTCTATTTATCAATCATATTATAATCAGTTATTATCTGCTTTGTTTTCATTTCTTTAAGATGCTGTTAAACATTTGGGTGTGTGGTACATACACATATTAAATATGCTAATTAAATATCATTAGTAATTTATGCAAAGCCCTAGGCTCAATTTCTCTAAATGTTGTGGCATCTGATGTAGGTGGATAGAAATACATAAGGTCATCCAATCTTCCTCTTATTGCTTTTCCCAGAACTCTTCTTAATGGCATCAGACAAGACACTGATTTGCAGAAATTGCCAAGGTTCTTTGTGAAGCAAGGATAATGCATTTTATAAACAGCCACAGTAATTTTAACTAGAATTGTGAAAACTATTTTACCTCAAGTTAAACAAACTTAGAGAAAGGATCCCAGAGTGAATGCAATCTGAAAAGTAAATTAGGGGCAAACTAGCTGCTGGCAGAGGTCACTGGAGAAAAGTGACAATCAGAATGTCCTTCCTGGGCCATTCCCTTTGCCTAAATGAGAGGCCATCTCCAGTTTGATGGGATTCTCTACCAGAAATCAGAGCTGTGACTACAGCTACATTTCAGAGCTGGAGGAAAATTAAGGACATGGAATTCATACAGAACACGATCAGATCACCTCCTCCTCTCTATCTCCAGTGCCTCCTGTCTTCCTCTTGAAAGGACTGTTGTGATTATCTGGGCACACTTGTATAATCTAGAATAATCTCTACATCTCAAAGTTCTTGAATTTATCACACCTGCAGTGTCCCTTTTGCCATATATTATAAAATAGCATTCACAGATTAATTCACAGGGATTAAGACATGAACATCTCTTTTTCAGCCTATTACAAAAGCTGTATTTATAATGACCTGAATGTCCATCAACAACGCATGGATAAACAAATGTATATTCAAACAATGGAATACCATTCAGCCATAAAAGGAATTACTATCTGACATTTTGAGAACAATGACTTGACCTGGTAATAGAATAGCACTCCAGTTACAGCCAAGAAGTTTTTGAAGTCCACACTCTGTCTTCCTAATTTTGGCCCTCACAGCTACTCCAGTCCCCTAATCATAAACATTGCACCTGAGGATTCTCAGAACCACCTTCCCAGAGAGCAGCTGGGTTGTCCTCCTCAATCCAAGAAAATATTCATTATCCTGAGCAGCCACTGAGAGGAGGCCTCTATCCTGAAGGTTCCAGATTCTCAAGAAAGAAGAAAAAGTTGACATTTCTGGAGATGAGGAGGCTATTAATGAAAATTCAGTAAGAAAAACTGTAAGAGGATTCAAAAGCTATCCATCCACTCGGAGATGCTCTTTACAGGTAGCAAGTTGAGAAGGGAGGAGTGGAACAGCTGTGCCTCCATCAACAGCATCTCCTCGCTGCTCACACCCACCGTTCCCCAGGGCACGTCCGTGTGGCAGGATGGGAGGAAGGATCTCAGTCGCTGATCATGCCATGGCATCCAACATCCCTGTAGGTCAGCCTCCAAGGCCTTCACCCCCCTCCTTTCCTTCTCTCTACCATTTCCATTGCTTGGTCCTTTGCTTCTTCTCCTTAAGCTCCTTGAGCGCTTGCTGCTACAGCTGCTTTGATACATGTAGGGATATGTAGGGCTATGTAGGGCTGAAGTTCATTCAGCCAGGACCAAGTTTCTCTGACTTTACAAGAGGAGGCACTTTCTGGGGTGGGAGCCTGGAAGCTCAACTGAGTCCTGACAGGGAGATCCAGCTCTGTGTGTTGGCCATCACCCCTGTATCCTTTCCCAGTCACTGGGAGCGTGGGAAGAGGGCAGCACCAGGGAGGGCTCCTGACACCTGTGACTCTCACACAGGTCACTCAGCGGTTCCCATTATTTACTTCTGGTCAGGAGCCTGGGTCAGCATGGAGAGAAGGGAAAGACGTGACAAATGCTTTTGTGTTATTATGATTTGGGGCAGTTCGGTAATGTATTAAAATAATTACCTGTGAGAATATCACTGTAGATCATGCGAGCATTAGGAGAATAAGGAAATACCATGAACAGCTCTAGACACAGAAATTGAAAAATTAGATCAAATGAATCAATCCTCATAAAGCGCAAGCTTCCCTAACATGAAATAGATATTTGAAAGTGCGTAAATTACTTAGGAAACTGGGTTCATAATTTAAAACTCAAAATCTCCAGACCCAAATGGCTTCACTTAAGAATTTCACCAAACATTTAAAGAAGAATTAATACCACTTACATGTAGTCTTCTCCAGAAAGTAGAAGTGAAGGAACACTTCTTCCTAATTCCTAATTTCCTTTTCTGAAGCCTCAGATCTCCAAATCAAATAAAACAATACAAAATAGCTCATAAATAAAGATGTAAAAATCCTTAACAAAACAATAGAAAATAGAATCCATTTATTTGTTTGCTTATTCATTTATACACAATAACCATGGGATGCAAGACTAAAGAGCAATTACATGACTATGTCAAACACTGGACAAAAATCAGTACCAATTAAATTCGTAAAAAAAAAAAACTCACAATTACATGACTATGTCAAACACTGGACAAAAATCAGTACCAATTAAATTCGTAAAAAAAAAAAAAACTCAGAAAGCTGGAACTAGAAGGCAACTCCTATCACTTGATAAAGATCATCTCCAAAATTCCACAGCTGACAGGACACTGAATAGTGAATGCTGAATGCATCCCACTCCCATCAAGAGCGAGGTTAGGGTGTTTGCTCTCACCATTCTCATTCCACTTGCTACTGGAACTTCTAGCCATAAGTGGCATACAGATCAGAAAGGAGGAAATAAAACTCTCTCTACTTGCAAATCACATGATCACCTCAATAGAAAATCCCAAGGAATTTAAAACCCCGAAACAAAACAAACCCCCAAGAACGAGTAAGTAATTTCAGCATGGTTACAAGGTTAGCCATACAAAAATCAATTGCATTTCTATATACTAGCAATGCACACATGGAAAGAAAAATTTAAAATACAAAACCACTTATAATCACCAAAGACATGAAACACCTAGATGTAAATCTAATAAATCATACATGCAAATCATATGACGATAACTACAGCATACTGATGAAAAATTTAAAACACGTTTAAACACATGGAGACATGCTGTGTTCCTGGATTGGAATACTCAGCATAATAAAGATGTCAATTCTCCTCAAATTGGTATACAAGTTTAATGTCATTGCCAACAAATTCTAATTCTCAGCAAGCTATTTTGTGGATATAGAAAAGATTGTTATAAAATGTATATGAAAATGAAAAAATACTAGAATAGCTAAAACACTTTTGAAAAACAGTGGGAGGAGTCATTCTATCTGAAGTTAACACCTACAATATACAGATGATCCCCGACTTATGATGGCTTGACCTAGGATGTTTCAGCTTTACAATGGTGCAAAACCAATATGCATTCAGTAGAAACAGCACTTCAAATTTTGAATTTCTATCTTTTCCTGTGCTAGTGATATGCCCTGTGATACAGGGCTGGGCAGCAGCAGGGAGCCTCAGCTCCAGTCAGCCTCGAGATCACGAGGGTAAGCAACCGATACTGATTCGTGACATCTTCCTGAGGAACACGATTCCTGCTAAACCACCAATAAGTGTAGGTGCCCTAGAGCCTTCCAGCAGCAATTCCCAAGCCATATCAGAAAAGAGAGAGGTTGGTGACCCTGCAGCACAACCATCGTCCAGCAGTTAATTTTAGTTCAGGGCTTTGAACGTTCTTCAGGCCCAGCACGCTTCCAGCTGTGTATGTTGATGGTGAGAACCCATGCAACCATCTTGCTTTTCCTTTCAGTACGGTTTTCAATAAATTGCATAACATATTCAATACTTTATTATGAAATAGGCTTTGTGTTAGATAATATTGCCCAAACATAAGTCTTCAGAGTATGTTTAAGGTAGGCGAGGCTAAGCTCTGATGTTTGATAGGTTAGGTGTCAACTTACGATATTTTTAATTTATATTAGAGTTATTGGGAGAAAACCGCATCAACAACTGAGGAGCATCTTCGTCTGTAGTAATCAAGAAAGGGTGATACTGGACAAAAGACAGATCAATGAAACAGAAATGGAACCATGCAGATATGCTCATTTGAGTTTTTACTAAGTTGCAAAAGCAGCTACTGGAGGGAGGAGGGTCTTTCCAGCCAGTGATGCTTGACCAATAAACAGCATCGGGGAAAAATGAACCTCAACCTAAACCACACTCTTTACACAAAAATTACCTGAAAATGGATCATGAATAGAATTGTAAATTGAAAAACTATAAAAACTTTAGGAGAAAACAAAGAAAATTTTTAAAACCAAGAGCTTGGTAAAGAATTCTTAGATATGGCACCAGGACCCTGATCTGTTAAAAAAAATCAATAAATTGGACTTTATCAATATTTAAAACTTTTAATCTACAAGTGACCGTGTCAAAAGAAATAAAATACAACCTACAGGTTGTGAGAAAACATGTGTAAAACACATACATGACAGTGGACTACTATCCAGAGTATATAAGGAACTCTCTAAACTCACCATAAAAATAGAAACAGCTCAATTAACTAGTTAGCGAAAACATAGATATTTCACTGAAGAAGAGGTACAAATCAAAAATAAGTACATGAAAAGATGTTCAGTATAACTAGCCATCAGAGAAATGCAAATTCAGACCATAATGAGCTATCACTAAATACCCACCAAAAGAACAAAAATTAGCTACAATAACACTTGCTGCTGAGGATGTGATTTCTCATACATTGCTGGTGGGGTTATAACATGGTACTGTGGAGTACAGTTTGGAAATTAAAAAAAACTAACATATACTTACCATATAATCCAGCAATTGCACACCTGGAGAGAGAATTGAAAACCTATGTTCACACAAAACACAGAATGTAAGTGCTTATATTATATTAATTTGCAATAGTCAAACACTGAAAACTATCAAAATACCCTACAATAAGATAATGGTTAAACAAATTGTGGTACATCCGTACCATTACTGAGAATTACAAATAAAAGAAAGTTTTGATACATACAACCAGTTGGATGCCTCTCAGGGGCACAATTCTGAGTGAATAAAAGCCAATCTTTAAGGGTCACATAGAGATTCTATAACATTCTTGAAGTTATAAAAGTGTAGATATGGAGAAAAAATTAATGTTGATGAGGATTCGGGATTGTGGGGGGCAGGAGGCTGAATATGACCGTAAATGAATAAGACTAGAGAGATCACAAAGAGTGATGATGCAATGAGTCTACATCTTGATTCAGTGGCAATTACACAAATCTACACATATGATAAATGAACAGAGAACTATACGCACAGCATTCCAATGTTAATTTCTTGCTTTTTATATGGTGTGTAGTTGTATAAAATCCAACTTTTGAATAATACAGGGAAACTCTCTGGATTGTATTTTTGCCACTTCCTGTGAATCTATAATATTTCAAATTTTGTTAAAGATTAAAAATAGTCTTCTGTGAATCACTTATTTCGTGAGTCAGGTGGAGATCAACATCAGCACAAAGAATGAGCCTCCCTCGTCTTCGTGTACCTCCACGGACTTCACTCCCTTAACAAAGGCTGGTGGAATGACATTCTAAGCAAGTAACAGACAACAGCCTGCAGGCACCAGTGCCCTTCCAGCATCCTCTAGTGAGGAGCAGGAGATTCCAGACAAAAGAGAAGTCTGCTGCACACTAGCCACGGGTCTTCAGAGGAATGTGACACAGCACAACTGCCAGAGCTGGAGGAGGCTGTGTCACCGCACAGCAGCAAGCAGGCTGGAGCCTGTGGGGCTGAGGAGCTATGCAATGCGCTGACATGCAGGTTGATTGAAAGGCTTCATTCACAGGGTATTGTATAACCCAGTAAGGTACAGCAATGGAGACTCTGTTCAAATTGAAAATAGAGAAGAGCACTAGGGTCAGAGAAAAACTTTTCATCAGAAGGAAATGACATTCTTTGGTCCGTAGGAGCTGGGGGCCAGGGGATGAAACAATGAGGATAGACGGCCGCAAACATGCATTTCTCTTTGTATTTGCAGGTTGCTAATGAGCTCATGGCATTGCTGCTGTGTTTGTGTACAGATTGTGAATTTCTCAGTATCATATATGCTGTAATTGATTTTATCTGCCTGGGTCCACTTTTATTTGAGGGTATGCAAATCACATGCCCCAGACAAAAGCTCGTCTCCTTCTCCTCTTAGCCACCCCACCTCTCACATGTCCTCCACCACGTCTCTCTCCTCTCCCTCTCCTTTTCTTTCTCCCGTCTCTTGAGCTCATCCTCTTTTTTTTGCTTCCTGTCCAACCCCTTCCCCCACCCCACCCGCATCCCTCTCTTCCCCTCCCTCCCTTCCTCCTGCCCTGTTTCCTTCCCTTTCTCTGCCCTGACTTGCTGACTGGCCCATGTTCTCGAGTCCTCACTGCCTCAGCCTTCTCCCATTCTGGACCTGTAGGAAACATGGTCTTGTTGCTCCCATATCTCTTATTTTATAATCGTGTACCTCAAGCCAAAGAGGAGAACCAGGAAGCTTGAAAAGCACACGGGCATTTAGACTGGTTCTCCAGCCTGGCAGGTTCATTACTGTGAGAACTGGTAACTGAATTGCATCTGAAGTGGCCAAAGAGAGTGTGATCTGGACACAGCCTCCTGCCAGCATCGGCGGGGAGGCAGTGCTGCTGGTGTCGCTCGCTGCTTCCAGTCGGTCATTTTGTCTCCCTCACTTATTTGCATCACCTCATTTAGGAAATAAAGTTAACATTTCAGGGCTCACATCTAAGTCTTCTGTTTCTCTCATTCCTGCTGCAGCTGCTTCCACCGCAGACCTGGTGCAGACACTTGGGGCCACCCTGGATAAGGGGCCAGCGTCCCTCTCGCCCGCAGCTGTCTGTGAGGGAGGAATCCGTGACACTGGGCTCCCCAATTGCTCTGAAGTTAGTACTGCCCATTCTCATGAAAATCACGCAGGCACTCCATACTGAGCTCCTGAAAAATGTCAGTCTCCAAGCGCCCACTGCCCACTCAGTGAATCCAACCATTCCCCAGGGCTTCAGCTTCCGACAGCTGGTGCACGCAGCGCTGTCTTCCCTCCCACTCGCTGCTGTCAGCCAAATGCTCACAGACACAGAGGGCAATTTCAGACAGCCCCTTGGACCCTGCAGAGAAACTTAGACTTGGATAGGCCTCTTGATTAAAATTTTCACCCACGAAGTCCCCATTTTACAAGGTAACTGCTGAGGCACCATGGGGCCCTTTGTACACACAGCAGGTGCCCACACAGTGATGCTGGGAGTGAAAACATCTCTTATTATTCTGAATTCAGACCCGTGAAGGCTGCCTGTCTCAATTCTCTCATATAAGGGAAGGGTGCCGGGTCAGAAGAGGCACAGAGGCTTTCCCAGAGGTGGAAGGAGAGGCGGCGGCTCCATGGGAAGCAACCCCGGCCCTGCATCCTGGTCAGAGCTTCTTTCCCCAACTCCACAGCAAAGCTGCTCACTCACAAACATGATGAGTGAAAACAAGAGAAATCCATGGTTGTGATTTGTGAGGTGACAGGAAAATCCAGGTCTAGACGCCGTGGGAGAGGGCACAGAGACCTGCGCTGTGGCCTCCCTCGAGGTGACAGGCACCTGGGCTCTGAAAGAGGAGACGGGAAAGCCAGCGGGAGGTGGGGACCCAGGCTGTGTCCAGCAGGGTGGACAGCACGTTTCAGTCCTGAGGCAGGAAAGCACTGCAATCCAAGAGACCAAGAGCAGGCCACGGTGGCTGAGGGAGGTCAGCAGAGAGCAGCTGGCAGAGAGCAGCGGGGGGCAGCCGCGCCACACGGCCACGTTGACCGGGTTGGGGCTCCGGGCTTAGCGTGTTGATAAGAAGAGACTGACGAGTCTTCAGCAAAGAAGTAAATGGTATCTATGTATCTATCTATCTATCTGTGTGTAAAATATACGTATATATATGTATGTATATATGTGTATTATACACACATAATATATATACATACATATATATTTATATAAATATAAATTTATATATATATAGAGAGAGAGATAGAGAGAGAGAGACAAAGCCTCCTTCTATCACCCAGGCTGTAATGCAGTGGCAGGATCATGGCTCACTGCAGCGTTGACCTCCTGGGGCTCAAGTGATCGTCCTGTCTCAGCCTCCCGAGTTAACGTATACTTTGAAAGATCACACTGGATTTTCTATGGTGAATGAGTTAGAGGAAGATAAGGTTGGAATCAGGAGGAGCAGTGAAGGAACTATGCTTAGATTTGGCTAGGCCTCACAGCGGGAGCTGTGGTCTGCCGTGAAGGATGACTGTGGCTCAGGTCCTGACGGTGGCTGTGAAGGCACAGAGGGAAGGGAGTCTATTTTGGAGGTGGAAATGACAGAAATTGCTTATGGATTAGAAGTGAGGAGAAAGGAAAAGGAGGCGTCAAAGTGACTCTTACATTTCTGATGAGCAATTTCTGGCTTCAGTTCTTACATTTCTGGCTTGGTGTGATTTTTGGAGATAATGAAGGCTGAAGTAGGAACAGATCGATGAGGGAAGGAGGACGTGGATCAAGGCTTGCATTTGTGTGCTTTACGTTTGGAATGGCAGTGAGTTATTCTGGTGAGGCTGTCACATAAAGAGCCCGCAGCTCAGAAGATGGGTCTGGGCTGGGGTGAGGCTGCCACGTGGGTGGGCAGGGGCTGGGATCACCCAGGAGAGGCGGGGGTGGGATATGAGCAGGGGGCTGGGATCACCCAGGAGAAGTGAGGGTGGGATGTGAACCTGTGCTGTCCTCCCAGAATGCTCTGCAGAGCTCCACACTTTACCTTGGAAAAGCTTATTAGCCCTCCGCCTCCTGAAACAGAATGCCAATTATTTATCAGATCAGCATTGGTCTCAGGTCTCGAGGGCTCATCCTATAGGAACCTGCTGGCCCATCTCACTCTTTCCATCTGCAGGAGAGGAAAGAGGCAGGAAACAGGGTGGAAAGGGACCTCTGCTTATCAATGCTAACGACCTACACCTGGCTGCAACAATCAGTTTATTAAGGAAAGGAAAAGCAACTTTTAGAGTGACTGGGCGCATGGCTGTGTTAATCACATTTGCATATTGTGCTCTATTTCAGAAGACTCCAACGCAATAACTCACAGCAATCCATATTTATGATTTGAAAATTGCTGACTGAATAATTATACATTAAGTAACTTCTGTTTCCTTGTATATTATTGTTTCTAATTAGCAATGGGGGAAAATAAAGTCATTATTATTTATGGATACAGCTTAGGCTTGGCATTTCTACCAGGCTTGCAGTCTTCACATCAGTCTCCAGCTCCTGCTGGGCTCCTCCGTGCAGCCTCCAGGAGCTGGCCGGCCAGGGCAGGCAGGTTCCATCCTCCCTCCTTCGCTCCCCCTCTGTTCCTCTCCCCTAAGAGTTTGTTCATGGCCGGGCGCAATGGCTCACACCTGCAACCCCAGAATTTTGGGAGGCCAAGGCGGGCAGATCACGAGGTCAGGAGATCGAGACCATCCTGGCTAACATGGTGAAACCCCGCCTCTACTAAAAATACAAAAAAATTAGCCAGGTTTGGTGGCACGTGCCTGTAGTCCATGCTACTAGGGAGGCTGAGGCGGGAGAATTGCTTGAACCCAGGAGGTGGAGGTTGCAGTGAGCTGAGACTGTGCCATTGCACTCCAGCCTGGGCAACAGAGTGAGACTCTGTCTAAAAAAAAAGAGTTTGTTCGTACAGACCACAGCGTTCCTCCATCCACGTGGTCCACACCCCCATCCAACACCATCCTTATGGCCTTTGACTATAGTTTCCTGTGCCATGAGAAAGTCCTCGTTCTGAAGTTTAACTCTCCAACACTGTCACATGAAACTTGCTCATCACAGTGGACTAGTCCCTCCGTTTGCCATTGTTGCTCCAGAGAACCATTTGCTGGAGCCTTGGCTAAATAGACCGCATGGCCTCTCTAGCCCCTGCTCTTTAGACCCATGCAGGGTAAACAATACGCCTTAAGTGAAACACAGAATTTATCTATTTAATTAAAAAAAGAAAAGCCAGAGGGCGTCAGCTGGCCACACAGTGATTAAGCCCAGCCGCGGAGGCCCCGCACTGACACAGCAGCCTGCCCCCCGCTCGCCTCTCCACAGCTGCCCAGTTATGTGGCCGTTCCCTTTCAGCCACAGCACCTCTGAGGCATGTGGCTGGAAAATTCCGGTCCATTCGGCTGTCGCATAATAAATATTGCACAACACACTTTACCTGGTTCAGTTTACACTTAAATAAAGACTTTTGGCTTAAATCAATGGGTCTTCACCTGGGGTTGCATCAAATTCACCAGTGAAATTATTGATAATACACAGGTATCCTGGCCTCACCACCAGAAATCAGGGCTTGATGGACCTGAAGCGGTCCCGGGCGGTAGGAGAGTTGAAAAGTTTCATGGGAGTTTCTGATGTCACTAAGGTTAAGATACTTTGGTAATCTAGAAGCTTCTCACGTTTGGCTTCAAAATGGCATCACCGAGGCTGGGGGCAGACTATACTCCAGGCAAGTTAAACAGAATGTCCAAGCATGGGATTGGGCCTCACTGGTTTTTGTTTTATTTTAGCTCTCCAGGTATTTGCAATATGAAGCTAATGTCCTAATTACCATTCCATTCTGAAAGATCCTAAAGTACCTTATGATTCTCTGATTCTGAGAGTACAATCAAGACAAATTTTTTTAAAAGAAAAAAATCTAAATAAGTACATAACTAGAGAGCCTGTCTGATAGCAAGATCTGAGGTTCCAGTGTTCAAATGGAGAAAGGAAAGTTGTATAGCCTCTGGCTCTAGTCTAAGTCCCCTCAGTAGAGAAAAAAAATTCCCTATGTATTCCATTCCATACTTCTGAATTCAGGCTTGCAAGAAAGGCTCCAGCTAAGAATAAAATGTTACTTTTTTTTCTTGCTCCTGTGAACCCATGCAGATATTTTCTTTAGAGAACTTACGAGGAAGAAGAATAGGTAAAAACAAGGGATTTGTATATTTCTACATTTCTGGTACAAAACACCATCGGGATGGTATCAGTGGAGATGGTATCAACAGAGGGGTCCTCTGTAGGCATGCAGCCTGTCTTCAAGGTTACTGGATCCTCCCCCACAGCCCCGTGGAGAGACTTCACAAAGGATCCCAGCCCTATGCATCCTTCAGCCTGCACTCCCCTGATGCCGACAGGGAGAGACAAACACAGATCCCTCCAGCTGGAAGTTCTAAGATAACCTGATGGATACCTGAAGGAGACAGAGCTTCCAGGGTAGAGCTTTCAGGAGCACAGATGGAATTTACAACAAAAAGACAAATTCACTCACGCGTCGCTTTACAACGGGGGTGCATTCTGCAGAATGCAGAGACAGGTGACTTCATGGTTGTGAGAACACCGTAAAGTATACATATACACACCTGGATGGCATAGCCTCCACACCTAGGCTGCGTAGTGTGGCCTACAGTTCCTAGGCTACAGGCCTGCACAGCACATGACTGTGCTGAATACTGCAGGCAGCTGTAACACAATGCTAAGTATTTGTGTATCTAAACATAGAGCGGGGGCCGGGTGTGGTGGCTCATGCCTGTAATCCCAGCACTTTGGGAGGCCATGGTGGGTGGATCTCTTGAGGTCAGGAGTTCAAGACCAGCCTGGCCAACATGGTGAAACCCTGTTTCTACTAAAAATACAAAAAAATTAGCTGGGTGTGGTGGCAGGCGCCTGTAGTCCCAGCTACTTGGGAGGCTGATGCAGGAGAATTGCTTGAATCTGGGAGGTAGAGGTTGCAGTGAGCTGATATCACGCCACTCCACTCCAGCTTGGGTGACAGACCAAGACTCTGTCTCCCAAAAAAATAAAAAATAAAAATAAAAAATAAACATAGAAGAGGTATTGTTAAAAAAAAAAGATGGTATTAAATCTTATAGGACCACCCTCACGTATCCCATCCACCATTGAGGGAAACATCATAAGTGACAGATGACTGTAATATTCAGACAAACAGCCTGTGCCTTTCATTTCTCTCCAGAAGACAATACTCCCCCTCCAGAAGACAATACTCCTCCTCCAGAAAGAAGATAATACTCCCCCTCCGGAAGATAATACTCCCCCTCTAGAAGATAATACTCCCCCTCCGGAAGATAATACTCCCCCTCCAGAAGGAAGATAATACTCCTCCTCCAGAAGATAATACTCCCCCTCCAGAAGATAATACTCCCCCTCTCCTCCTCCAGAAGATAATACTCCCCCTCCAGAAGATAATACTCCCCCTCCAGAAGATAATACTCCCCCTCCAGAGGATAATACTCCCCCTCCAGAAGATAATACTCCTCCTCCAGAAGATGATAATACTCCTCCTCCAGAAGATAATACTCCTCCTCCAGAAGATGATAATACTCCTCCTCCAGAAGATAATACTCCTCCTCCAGAAGATAATACTCCCCCTCCAGAAGATAATACTCCTCCTCCAGAAGATAATACTCCTCCTCTACAAGATGATAATACTCCTCCTCCAGAAGATAATACTCCTCCTCTACAAGATAATACTCCTCCTCCAGAAGATAATACTCCTCCTCTAGAAGATAATAATACTCCTCCTGTAAATGTGCTCAGGCACTGGGAAGGATGTTAAAGTCGTGGGGACAAGAGGCAGCTGTGATACTCCTATCTCTAAACTGGAGACCAGGCTGGGCAGGAGGGTGAGGGCACACCCGGGATCTGTCCTGGGAGCTGCAGAGGGGGAGGGCTGCCTCTCCACGCATTCCCTGTCTCTGCAGGGGCAGATGGCAGACAACCAGGCCCCTCCACCCAGCACCCGGGTCAGTCAAGTTCTGCATTCAGAGGGGGCGATGGCAGCAACCACGTCCCTCTGCATGGCTGCTGGCTTCAAGGGGATATGTACATGTCAGTTCTCCTCTGGAAGGCATGTCCTCCACCCCAACCTGTGCCCTCTGTCAGCCTCCTGGGCCCAGGAAACAGTCAGAGAAAGGAACGGGTGGACAGAAGAGCGCCATGCCTGTATCTGAGCTGCCAGATGGGTCTGTGGGCTGGAGACATTTCCCTGCCCCACCTACCCTGATCCAGGATGGGGAACCCACCATCAGTGCTATGCTTCCCAAAGCAGCAGATTTTAGTTTGTACTTAAATGAAATCCAATGATGACAATTTCTAAATAATATACATCACCAATGCCACATTATAATAATTTTTGCAATGAATATATCCCATTGTTTTATCTTCTACACTGGGGGAAAATAAATGAGAGACCCAAATGTCACACATCAGCTAGAGCAAATTCGGGTCCCCAGAAAGACAACACAGGAGAGGCCAGGGAGCATCACTGAGAGTGTGAATTGCTGGGCTTCCTGTTTATTTCAGCAGGAATCTGGAATCATGCCTGCCCCGGTTAGGATTTTTCCCCTCTGCTCTCCAGACTCAGTTTATGATGAAGCCTCCTAGAGATCCTGTCTACTTGTTGAGGATGCGGCTCTGCCTCTGCTGACGACAGCCTGGCGAACAACAGTTCTACTGGACAGCCTTGGAGAGAGGAACCCGTGCTGCTGGGCTTGGGCAGAGCCTTTCCTAGACCCCTGTGCCAGAGCTGCTGGCAACGGGGGCCAAGTGGCACCCCCTGGATAGCCCTGAACCCCGGTGATCACGTGGCTCATTTGCAGTGGAGACTGGCAGGGGCTGCCCATCCCCATAGGGCCACCATGTAGCACTTCTCCAAACATCTACCATTTTCAGTGAGTTATCGTGTTACTTAATTATGAAAACACTTTTGTAATAACCACTCATTCTGATGAGTTGGCTGCGAGCAGTGCATGGTGCTAATGGCCCATGAGACACTTCAGAGGGACTGAGCACACCAGCCCTGCCTCCTCCAGGTAAACAGAGCTGCTCCCACCTTCAAGCAGTAGGTCTCACCTGGCAGGAAAGGCAATTGACGTGTGCCCTGGAGAAATGAACTATCTTTTCCTCCAAAAAGTACAATGACAAGGATATGACTTCAGGCCAGATTCATAACATCAAAGCCGTGCTGATTCCACCCTGAGCTGCACCTCAGAAACCCAGATGAGCAGAGAGTGATTAGGGAGTAAGGAGCCTAATTACCAGTTACTGTAGCAGCTGATGGGAAAGGGAGGCCTGGATTCTGAAGACCCCACTCTCCATGTTTATGATAGGAATAAAGCACCTTCGGAGGTAAGAAAGCTTGGCTGGCCAGGCACGGTGGCTCACTCCTGTAATCCCAGCACTTTGGGAGGCCAAGGCGGGAGGATCACCTGAGGTCAGGAGTTTGAGACCAACCTGGCCAACATAGTGAAACCCTGTCTCTACTACAAATACAAAAATTAGCCAGGCTTGGTGTTGGGCACCTATAATTCCAATTCAGGACACTGAGGCAGGAGAATCGCTTGAACCCAGAGGCAGAGGTTGCAGTGAGCCAAGATTGTTACAGAAAAGTAAACAAATTATTTCAATAAAATTAACCCTCCTCTCTGCCTCAGACTAGGCTGGAACAGGCCAGGAACCATGGGAAGGGTGGATCTGAAGTCCCCTGGAGTCCCACCTGGAGTCCTTCTGAGAGTCTTGGGAAGGAGAGTGGATGCAGAGGCTGGAACCAGGCAGGGCTGGAGGCCTGAAAGCAAGGGGTTGGCATTTAGACCCAGAAAGTTTGGCTACAGCTGCTGGGCCTCAATTCCTCATCCCAGAGTGTCCCGATATCCTTCAAGCCACGGCCAGTGGGGACAAGATTCTCCTGAGCCCAGGAGCCAAGCCTCTCGGACCAGCCAGCACAGGTGTGACCCTCGGAGTTCTAAGCTGTCTTTACAGTCGGCGTTTCCCTCACAGCCTCAGCTTTGACACGGCATTCACATCCCACAGCCTGGTCACTCTCAGCCAAATATTTTATGTTTTTTACATTTCTCTTAAAAGGTGGCACCCACCTTCAATAGTAAAATGTGATTTTTAAAAGGATTATTTTTCTGCTTAATTTCTTTAAAGTACATGTGACGCTTACAGCAAGAATCACACTGTTATACCGTAAGGCTTATAAGTATTCAGATGTAACACACGGACCATTGCAGCAGAATGGGAACATGACCTTTCTTAATACCTTGTGACACTCGGCAGGAGAGCCAGCTAAGCTGCTTCCTAAACAAGCAGTGTTAACTAATCCCATAAAGCAATTCAGAAACAAAATAGCACATGCATAGTATAGGCTTTTTTTAAAACACAATGAAGAAACCTGAGGGAAGAAATCATAGTGACCCTGGGATCCAGCAGGGCAAATTCAAGCCACACCCTCCAGGTAATGGTGAGGTGCCTGTGAGCAGCCGGTAATGGGTGCAGGTTAATGGACCTTGGGTGTCTATGAACTTGTTACTCTGAGAATATTAATGGGAAATCAAATAGCAAGTCAATTCAAAATTAGCTTTAATTATATTTTGAGATAGAAGCTGCCTCTCAAATCTTCCTAATGCAGATATTTCGAAACAAGAACAATACTAATTTTTAGCAAGTGCTGTTAAGATATGTTTAAATATCATTTCTCATCTGACAACCCTGTTTCAGAAGACTTGGGCAATTCACCTAAGTCACACGTGAAGACAGGAAAAGATGAAAACTTGGTGTATGGGTTTGAAAATATTAACCTCACCCGACAGCGCCCCATCATGCTGTCCCCAGAAAGAGCAGCTTCTGCAGAGGGCAGGAGGAGCCAACCCCATCAGTCATTGCTACTGCCCGTGTCATCGATGTTGTTATCACTAAGTATGACTCGCTGCATCTGTGTGCTGTGTTACAGGCTGGGAGAGGCTCAGGGCCAAACCACAGGTTTGCCAGGCCTGATGGTAAACCAGGCAGATTCAGCTCAAAAGCACAGGGAATCTGACACCTGCAGGGGCAACCCTCAGCCGGGGGAGACAGCAGCTGGTGTGTAAATCCCCACCTCTCCTCTCCTTCAGGTAAACAGCTCTGGCGTCGTACTGTAAGGGTCTCAGAGGCCCCTACAGAGAAGACCCCACGGTCCACTGCAGCTATCATTAGGGCACACCCTTGGTTGGCTTTTTAAAATCAACCTGAGTTAGTTCTAACTTTCGTCTGATTATGCACAGCCATGCACTGTGACGTGGTTTGATAAACGTACACCTGTGTGACCACCACCCGGTACAGAGCCTTCTCCTCACCCTGAAAAGTTCCTCATGCCCTTTGCAGCCCATTTCTCCCTATTCCTATTCATGCTCCAGGTAATTGTAGATGAGTTTTTCAAACCCTAAAATTTTACACAAACAAATCAGTATGAATTGATTAGTTCATACATCCCAACATACTGTTTTTGGGATTCATCCATGTCATTTTGTGTATCGGTGTGTTCCTTTTTTTATTACCAAGCAGTATATCGGTGTACGAATATATCGTTTTTCACCATTTGCCAGTTTATGGATATTTGGGTTGTTTCCAAGTTTGGCTGTGATGAGTAAAACTGCCTTGAATAGTCACATATCAATGTGATCTTGACAACAATTTGTGTCAAATTGAAATTCAGATTTTTCATCTATAGGAAAGTTAGATAATTATCATAGGTACATTTCAGGGTTATTGTAAAGAGTAAATAGAATAATGCATTCCACATATCTGGAACCTGGCCTGTGCCTTTTTCTTCCCACTATACAGGGACCTGGAATCTTTCAGGAAATGTCAGCTTCTAGGTCTGAGCAAGGAATGTACAAGATAAGCCTGGAAGCTATTATTGTGCCAGAAAGGATAAAGATGAATGAGCCTGTTAGTGTCATGTCAGAAAAGACACAAAATATGCTTAACGTTTCTCAAAATAAAATGTTTGAAAACAAAAAGACACAGTCATTTGCTGAAGAAAGCACCGCTGGCCTAAGATGTAACAATTTGACCATAAGATGAATAATGCCTGCAACAGATTGAAACACATCAAATTATCAAATATACAAATCCAGGAATTCTTAATAAATTATTTAAGTGTTTGATGGACCCAGTCATTATAAAATGAACACATTAATACAAAATTTGAAAACTAAAAATAATCTTTATTACACACATTTATGCTTTACAAGTTTAAACTTTACAAGTTTGTATTTCAAATTAGCCATAGTTGAAGAAAAATTTTCCTTTTTACAAATGTTTCATGTACTCACTTGTACCCACGAACTAAACCCATCAATCTCAAGGAGGTAGAGAGTGGAAGAATAGAATAGTGGGTACCAGAGACCGGGAAGGGTGGTGGGGGAAGGGGGAGAGATGAAAAGAGGTTGGTTAATGAGTACAAAATTATAGCTAGATAGAAGGATTAGGTTCTAGTGTTTCACAGCACAATAGGGCAACTATGGTTAACAATAATTTACTGTACTTTTCAAAAATAGCTAGAAGAGAATATTTGGGATGTTTCCAACAAGAAAGGATAAATGTTTAAAATGATGGAGATCCCATTTACCCTGGTGTGATCACTGCAAATTGTATGCGTGTATCAAAATATCACATGTACCCCATAAATATGTACAACTATTATGTATCAATACAAAGCTATTCTTTCTAAAGAAATACAATCTATGAATACAGAAGTAAAGTATAGAATTGGAAAATCAACATTTTGAAACTTCAAATAAAATAATACCCATTGATGGATGTTAAAACCACTAGTGGAAAAAACGATGGAATTTTTTAATGGAGAGAGCAGAGAAACACGGAGCACACTGATCTTTTTTTTTATTTTTTTAAAGGAATCAGTCTTTGAGTCACTGAAAGTGATACAAGCAGACAGCAGCTGGCTTACTGTGTGATGAGAGAGGAAGGTCCCAGCACCACCACGATGGCATCCCTGCCCTCGAAAATGGAGACTGAGTAGAGCCGGTCTAGCTCCAATGATCCGATTATAATAACTGCAGGGCTGAAAACACGAGTTGGTACACTACACAGCAAAGCAAACCACCAAATCCAGAGTGTGAGACCTTCTACATGGAAAATGATGCATTTCTCCAATAAAGCAGCAACAAAGAAAAAAACAGAGAGGAGTCAGGGACCGTCTCAGAGGGAGAGAGATTGAAGAGGTAGATGGTCAAATGCAGTTGGTGGGCTTTGGGCGCTGCTAAGAAACCAACTGCAGAAAGGCACCTCTGAGACAATCAGGGAAATTTGAACAGGGGCTGGTATCAGATTATATATTTATAATTAAAATGTTCATTTAGGAATTAAAGTTGATAATTATAAATTTATAATTAAAAATTGAAGTGTTACAATGGAAAGGAGTTTATGGGGAAATATTATGATTAGTTAGAGATACCTGGTGATGTACTTACAGAACAAATGATAGAATGTTTGGGGATTTGCTTTCAAATACCGCAGAAAAAGAAAAGTGGAGATGTCAATTAAATTTGGCAAATTTAATTGACAATTTAATTGGCAAATATGGAGAATTTGGATAAACTGTTGAAGCTCTGTGATAAGTACAAGAAGATTCACTGTTCTGTTCACCCTCTTTTTGTGTGTATTTTTAAAATCTTACATCATACAAAGTTCAAAAAATGAAAAAATCCTGTTATGAGTGCACCTTGCAGAGCAGGCACCCTGCACACATCACTGGAGGGCTGAGCATCGGGGACTTCTGCCCTTGACAGTCCCCTGATTGGAGCCAGGTGAGTGGCCTCTCTCCTAAAGATTCCGTCGCTCTCCTGCCTCCCAGGTGGTGATCCACAATGCTCAGCCCTAGGCTGGGAGCGAGATAAAAGCCCGGTGCTCACCACGCTCCCACTCTACTGATTGTCCAGCTTGGGAAGTGGTGGCTCAGTGCCGTGGTCCTTTCGAGCTCTCATAGTTGCCTGCGGCCATGATTTGAGGCCACTCTTCCAGGGCTAACAAGAATTCTGGACAGAAATATCGTTGTAATTAAAAATTCATCAGGTTGCACTTTGACCTGCTTCCTTGTAATTGAAAGCCACTTAGTATATAGTTTATTAGTATCATGTTCTACAATATATCGATCATTTTGAAGCAAATCACACCATTTTATTTGGAAGTATTTTTGTTATATAGCTCTAAAAGATAGAAAGATCTTCTTTCAATTATTATTAAAAAAACAAACATACACATGCATATAATCATGTATCTAAAGTATGTGAAAATCAAGAACACACATCAGGACAAGTTGGCCCTCAATGTGCCAGCATCTGTCTCCTAAACACAAGTGTTACAATACATACTCACACTTCAGTGGTTCCATTTAAGAAGCTTAACACTGATGTCTACTTACTATCCATATTCACGCTTTCCCAATTTTTCCAAAAATGTTAGCAAGAGCCTGTCTTACAAACATAACTACAGTACCATTACCACACCTGAAATTGTTAACAGTAATTTATTGAAATCATCAATTAACTCATCAGTTTCATATTTTCCACATAACCTCTTTTTTTTTTTTTTTTTTTTTTTTGAGACGGAGTCTCGCTCTGTCACCCAGGCTGGAGTGCAGTGGCACCATCTCTGCTCACTGCAAGCTCCACCTCCTGAGTTGACGCCATTCTCCTGCCTCAGCCTCCCGAGTAGCTGGGACTACAGGCGCCCGCCACCACGCCTGGCTAATTTTTTGTATTTTTTTTTTTAGTAGAGGGTTTCACCGTGTTAGCCAGGATGGTCTCGATCTCCTGACCTCGAGATCTGCCCGCCTCGGCCTCCCAAAGTGCTGGGATTACAGGCATGAGCCACTGCGCCTGGCCCACCTCTTTAATCTTCTCAAATTCTCTCTCTAATCCCCTCAATTTATTTGTAGAAGAAACCTGCAAATTTGTCCTGCAGTTTCTCAAAGTGTAGATTTTCTTGAGTGTTTCCTGATGGTCTGTTTTTGAAATATATTTCTCCATCTCTGTATTTTGAAGATATTAGTAGATATAACTCAAGGCTTGAAAAATAAGATTCAGTTTTCAGTAACCCTACTTTACAGGCAATGCTAAGTACATCAGTCATGTAGCACAAAATGTCTGACTGTCCTTGATTTGGGATCTGACCAGCTGTTACCTAGTTCCACTAATTTATTAGGAAGTTGCAAAATAGTAATATTCTACATATATCATTCCTTCATAATCTACCAACAATAACACTGTTAGGAAGGTTTCTAAAAGTCCTCATTATCTATTACATTAAATTATGCCATAACTATCATATATTATATTTAACCATTTTATACAATGGTTTATACAGAAAAAAAATAAATGCTTGGTTAGTGCTAGTTTTCAAAATAATGAAAT
Source organism: Homo sapiens (assembly GCF_000001405.40). Taxonomy (NCBI): domain Eukaryota; kingdom Metazoa; phylum Chordata; class Mammalia; order Primates; family Hominidae; genus Homo; species Homo sapiens. The sequence goes on along the minus strand of NT_187581.1, from coordinate 14,155 downwards.
TATTTTGTTTGTTCACAAACATCCTCCACTGGCAACAATTAGTTTTCCTAATATTCTTTTTAACATTTCATTACAAAATAACGAAGTCGAATATATTTGCTGGGTTTCATTCATTATGGTTATTAAATTTAATGATGTTTAAATTGTCCCATCTTCAGCTGGTGGGAGCCTCTAATGTTGCCTCCTGAGCCTTTCTGACACGATCTTATTATTCTGTAATCTCTTCCTTGCTTTCTAGTAGGACAAAATGTTTCAGGCTGAAATTGTACATTCCCTGCCTGAGACCTACAATCAGCCATTTTTCCAAGGAGCCCTGGGTCCGTTTGATGATAAATGATTTATAATGATCACAATTTGGATGTCACAGGTTTTCATCACTACTGAATTGTCCATTGTTTCTAGCTTCCAGTAGATGGAGATAGATAATATGCATTTATAAATTACAGGGTTTTTACCTCACTTCATCAGTCTTACATCTGATTCTTCTTTATCTTATGCTGAGAATGCTGGTTCTCAATGACACCACTTTAATTGATCATTTTCTTCTTATCACAATCAGTCACAAAACAGTCACACACGGCAACCTTAAATAACAATACCAGAATTAGGAAAAAATATGATTCTTGACTACAGGTGAAAATCTGATTTCAGTTCTTTTTTTCCTGTGTTGTATTCCATGAGACATATGTGGTAAAAATGCTGAGGCTCAAAGCCACTTGGAATAGTCCCTTCCTTCGATGCCACTATCTCAACGTCTACGACACACATGCCACCTTCCCCATCAGCAAACCCAGCAAACCCAAGGCTCCTTAAGTAAACTACATGGAGGAGACTGTCTGTATATTTTTCTCCTAATCAAAATCACAAGAGGAAGGATGACCATCTGTTCCTTTTGTGAGCATCTGCTGAGCTAGTGATGCTGGGAGCTGCTGGTCCTCTGCAAGCCTTTCGAGGCCCCAGTTTTGGCTGGACAGCAACCCTTGGCTGGTCAGAGCACCTGCCCGTCAGTGGTCCCCTCTCTGAGCTACATCAGATATAGTAGCTACTTCATATATTTCTTAACGTAACTGAGGATTTTTGTTCAGAGGTGTGACATGAAAAATAGGAACATCACTTTGGAAGAGGTGAGTGTTGAATTCAAGAACCAACGCATGGAGATATTTACTTTTCTTCTCAGGTTGAAGACCAAATGCCTGTTTGTGGCCAATGGAGCTGAGTTTGGTGACTATGCTGAAAATCTGCCATCCGCTGCTCCTGAGTACGGTCTGTATGCCATGTCCTTTAGCCTTGGTGCAGCTGAAAGCTGCAGATCTGGAGACAGGCATGGGAAAGGCTGGGATCTCAGGAATAATCTGAAGATCAGTGAGGCAGTGGCGTAAATGGGTGGAGAAAAACGCAGAGGGCTCCCCTGACGATGTCCATGCTGTGAGGAGGAGCACAGTGGGAAAGAACCAGGGTAGGGGGTGGGAAGCAGGTGCCATCTGTCCAGGCACAGGTGGGGGGAAGACCTGCAAGCCACCTTCCTGCAGCATGGCAGCCTTTTTCCCACTAAGGCTGGACTCCAGGAACCCTCTCAAAGTTGACAGGAAGAGGGCTGGCAGTCTGAGATGCAGGAGGAAGGGGGGCACATGCTGGGGTCCTGAGGGACCCACTCCGGTGAGCAATCTGGTCCACCTTGGGAGCCCCTGGACTCGGGTGAACTCATTTTGGGAAGAGGTACCTTTTCCTCAAGGCACCCGCAGGCCCCGTCATTAAGCCGATGTGGAGCCGAACACAGCGTCCTGCTGATACTGTGGAAAGTGCCAGAGTGAACATTTTTATCAAATGCTGGTCTCAAGAACTTATTTCAGCCTTGGAGGAATCAACCGACTAGCACCAACGAAGGAGGTGACTAACAGACTTCTGGTCGACCACAGGCATGCTGTCTGATGTGCAGCCTGCCCTGCCCTGGGAGTGACAAAGTGAGAACCGCGGCCCCCAGGAGGCTGCCTCTCCCTTCAGAAGGAAAAACCCAGCTGACCCGCCAGGACACAGGTGCATGGGGCAGAGGGCTTTCCTCTCCTCAAACTCTCCCTACCGGTCAGTTTTGTTTGGGATCACACCCACAGATTGAATGACAAGAACATCAATGATAATAACCAAACGAAGTGGTTTGAAGGCTGAAGGCCCAGGCCCAAGTCCCGGGGTCTCTCTGGACCTTGACACCTGTATTTTTAAATGGACATAATGATAATAGCTACCTTAGCAGGTCATGTCAGCGTTAAATGTGAAGTGCTGGAAAATACTTGCTCAGTGGCCTACACATTACAGATGCGCACGGAGTTGTGGGAGTCGTTACAATCACCATGTTCAAGACACAGAACTCACAAAGGTCAGAAAACCAACACTGTTCCCTCCTGCCAGCAGCCTTCAGTTCATGGCTTTACTCAGGTCAGGAAATTGACAAAGCATCTCTTAATTGACAGCCTGAATATTATTGACCCTGGCCAGGGTGCCCATCCCCAGCCCCCGATAGTGACACCATCCAGCCTCAGTGTGACATGATGGCAGCTGTGAGGACTGGACTCTGGGCTTCTGAAAACCTTCCCGGTGGTGAAGGCTGTCTTTGGTGGACTTGGTAAGCCATACTTTGCAGTTCAAGCCCCATTTTAGCATCAAAGGGACTCAGAACCCTTTAAAAAGCACACACTCACTCACTTCTACTTGAAGTTGAATTTTGAGCTGAGAAAACTCTGATCCTTTGGAAATTGGAAATAATTTATGTCCAAACAATCAATTAAAAAGGTCATAAAGCTCCATTCTATTCAAGGACTTCATTAGCATTGCTTAGGAAAAATTAAAATGAATGTTCCGGAGGTTTTTTTTAGACTTGCAAGAATTTTCAGACTGTATAAACATCAATGGGAAAATTATATTAGTGAGTGAGCATGTTGAATACATTTGCATTTTATGAATGAAAAGTGTTTCCTGAAATTACCATCAAACTTGAAATATGAAGAAGATAAACATGTTGTCGGAGGCCCACAAGGAAGGCAGAGAGGAGGGAAGCAGCGGGAGAGAGGATAGCTGAGCTCCCCTCAGCAACCCGTTTTCCCTCTTACTTGCTAATGCTGGAAGTCAGCTGGGGTGGGTGCAAGCCATCTGGCTGAGCTGGGTGAGATTGACCTAGGTTGGGAATATGTAAGAAAGTGACAGAAATAAAGGACTCTGCCTTGTCCATGAAGCTGGTTTTGTCATATGGTTTTGGGGAGAAAGAGGAAAGGTGTGTTTCTAAAGGCCACTCATGTATGTAATAGATGTAAACGTCAAAAGTCTGTGTTAACTGCCACCCCTCTCTCTCTATCTTGTGGAGACCTCTGCCCCTTAAAGCTCCTGCCTACAGACCCTCCAAAGCCCTGCCTTCCCCATCCTCACTGTTGTCATTCATTGTCATCCTACCCCACCCCCACATGGTGAAGCCCCAGCACCTGCTCACTGCATCCTCTTCATCCCAGATCCAGTTGTCATTCTTGGTCCTTCACCATCTACAGGATGCACGTGCTCCCTGGCCCCTCATGCCTGAAGCTCCATCTCCAGGCACCTTGGCTCCCACTCTGTAGAGGTTGCCCTCCCATCTCGTGGCCTATTCTGTCACCAGGGACAGCTTTGGTCCCAAGATGAAGTCCCATAGCCAAGTTGAACCACAAGCAGGTGTCCACCTACTTATGGAAGCTGACTGAAACCATTCTTCCACCTCATCACAATTTTCAGCCCACCAAACCTAAAACTTATATCCTACTTGTTCAGGCCATCTACTGTTTGTTTTCTTCATTATCTTCATTAAATCAAGCATTACCATTGCCTCCTCATAATTAAGATCAATACCCTTGCCCCACTCGATGTCCTTTGTAGTTATTTTGCTAAACTTTGGATCCTGGAAGAGCCCCACTGTCTACCTTCTTCATAACTTTCTCTCAGTGTGACCAAGAGAAAAATCCTGTGGAATAGACCCCAATCCACGATCACTATCCTAAAATAGTCTGGGAACCTGCTGCAGGTCTCGCTTAGCTCATTCTATCACGCCTCTTGGCACCCAGTCCTGGGACCTTCCTTCTACTTCGATTCCCAGTTTTACCACAGTTGTCCCGGCCTGGAACCAGCTCACACTGTTGCCTCTAAACTCTTGAGAAAATAAAATTTGTCAGTCAGAAATTCCCTCAGTCTCAAAGTGAGGGAAATGTATAAACTTAAACAAAATTCCTACTCCTAATAAAATAGAGGAAGCATAATTCCTTTTGCTAAAAGTAGTGGAATTTCTGGGGCCTCTGCCAAATGCCAGGCTCTAGTCTCAGCACTTAATTTTTTTTTATCTCATTAAATCATCACAACAGTAGGCAGACGTTTTTTAACTCTAGAAGAAGCCATGGCACAGAGAAGTTAAGAAATCTGCTCAGAAGGTACACTAGTGGTTCCCACGGCTGGAGGGGCGGATACTTAAGATACTATTCCCCCAGTTTCAGGGTATTCCAGTCCTGCCCTGGAAGGGAGAGTATATACATATCCTAAGTCATCACCTCCGGACAATACGGTTTACTCTACACACCTGCTTCACTTTGTCGCAAAGAGGACTAAGGAAAAGATGGTGCCACCTGAACCCATGCCTGCTGCAGCCAACAATTGTCACAGGCATGTCCCCCTCAGGGCAGCAGGAGCTCTTTCCGAACCTTGGGGAGTGATGGGAAGAAGGTGAGAAGCAAATCTTTAGTCGCATCATATTTGTTCAGAGAAAATATAAATCTTACACTTAATTTTAAGATCTTGGCAAACTCTCAAAGCCTAAAATAATTCCAGTAGTTCTCACGATGAGTAAGGACTAGACTGGGACCTGTCTTTGAGAGATGGAGGGGGAAGAACAGTCAGCATTCCCTGATGAACCCAGGCCCAGTGGTGTGCTATAGCCCCGGGCCCTTCGCACGTTAAGCTCCAGCCAGGGCTTCTCATGGGGCCACATGCCGGGGAATTGACTTCCCCTTCTCTGTCCTCAATTCATACTCTGATTTTAATACTGATGGAAAATGGAGACAAAAGAGGCATAGGAAGCATTGAAAACTAGAAGTGGGCTAGACTGGCAAACTAGGATCATGGGCTAGTAGACTGGAAGAGTCTGGGGGTCGTCTCATTCACCCTTGCCATTGTACAGTCAAGGAAACTGGGGTCCAGAGAAGTCACATAACTGTCCAGGTATGCACAGGGCCCAGGCTAGGACAGGTCGGGATGCCAGGTTCACTGGCCCACCCTGTCTCCCCTAACTTCAGGTTTCCATGAAAGACTCTGCTGTTCAAAGCTGTCTCATGCTCTTGTACTGTGCGGAAACTGGGCCCATTGCATGTTGAAGAAGATGCTAAAGAAAGCAGCTGGATATATTCAGTCTTGATTTTGATGTCATTGATTATTGTTGTTCTCTGGCAAATTTATCCCTGAGAAACAAAAGTGGCTTCCATAAAAGTGCACAATGCCAAGGATTGGGGCAATAATCTTTCACCCAACTCAAATACAGGTATTTTTAGTGGAACGTGATATTTAGCAAGAATGTCTGTTCTTCAATGCCCCTTAGAATTATCCAGGAAGGCAAGGGAATTTCCTTCCCTAAGATTCATCATTGGGAAGGAGGCTCCAGCCTTCATTCCCTCCTCTTCCAGGATAGGTCAGGCTGTTGGAGGTAGAGTGACCAATCACACAAATTCTGGAGGCCAGAGCCATCTTCTTGACAAGCAGAGTCTCCCAACCAAGCCTCCTTGAAGGGGGCTCTGCTGGCACAGCATGGCCTCCCTCTGTAGATCCGACAGAACCGAGCCCAGCCTCCCCTCTGCTCTCCACCCAGCACCTGCCAATCAATCACTGCCATTTCCAAGGACTGGTTAATCCCCAATGAGGGCTTTATACTGTAATTGAACCTGCTACCCCTTGGGTCATTTACGTTATTTCTCTGTTCCCTTGTCAGGGGCCTCTAATTATTCTCTCCCTGGAGTCAGGCCACAAATCTGGACATGCTCATTAAAGTGTCAGCGAGTTGAGGAGCATGGTGCTAAGTGGGATGAATTGATGACATAGCTCTCTGCTGTCTTGCACCTGGGTGGTGACTTATATCAGCAGAGGAGCAATTTCTCCTATGCCTACTTAGTCTCCATACCCAGGGAGCTTTGTCAAGGAGTTGGTCACATCTTGGCCGGGCTCTGCAAGTGGAAAAGAGGAAAGAAGAGGGCCAAAAGCAGACAGGGCTACCACCCCAGTGTCCTGGAGGCTCTGGCACTCTGCACTGACCACAGCTGGCTGCAGCTGCAGTCCCAGCAGTCAAGTTCTCAGCCTGTGTTTGTTCTCTGTGGAATTCCTGCCTGTCTCCTGTTGAGTTCACATTGATTTCAAGATGATTTTTCTGAACAAAGGAGAAACATTTCTCTGCCCTAGCATTTTGTATTCACAGAAAGGACAGAAATTTGGCCTGGGTGGGTCACATTTTTACCATAATTTCCAGTGCATTTGGTCTTACTTGCAAGTGGGACAGTCACTTTTCTCTGTTTTCCAAGCTTGATGTGAGGAACAAGTGAAATATGTATAAAAAAATTTGAAATATGTATAAAAAATGTTTTTTGTTCTCAGCATAAGAAACATTAATGAAAGAGTCATTTCTGAGGCAATTTTTATCATTGTCATTTCCATTTTTCTTTGATTTGTTGCATGTGGGAGTGGAATGAATGGATTCGGAGCAGAAGATCAATGAAGTCAGTGTCAGACCAAAGCAGCCTGCCGGAAATCCACAGCACTGCAAGGCTTCTCAGCTGCACTGTGGCTGGAGTCGCCTGGTGAGTCTGTTGAGAGGTCTGACCAGGGAGTTCTGGGTGGAGCCCAGTCTTCTGAATCTCTAGCAAGTTCACAGGAATTGCTGAGGCTGCTGATCCAGGAACTTCACATTGACTAGTGAAGACTGAGAAGTCTGGTTTTGAGAATGTCCTAAACTTACCTCCAGTGGGTAAGAAATCCCCTAAAGAAAGAGAAGAAGGAGAAAGAGGAGGGAGGGGAAGAGGAGGAGGAGGAAGAGCAGGAGGAGACCAAAAGAGGAGGAGGAGGAGGACAAAAAAGAGTGAGGAGGAGGAGGAGGGTGAAGAGGAGCCATCATTTATTAAGTGTTTCCTGTGCCCCAGACAAGGTTCTAAGTGCTTTCTTCACAATATCTCATTGAATTTTCAACCAAACCCATCAAATGAGATACCGAATCTAGAAAAAGAAAATGAACCAGCTTCCATCAGTTAATGAAAAGAGAATCAGGATTTATTCTTAAGCAGTCCGAACCCAGAACCTGGGCTATTATCCATTTCATTTATTTTTCTAAAGAGGAAACATTTAAAAATAAAATAAGAGACATAGAAAATAAGGAGCTGTTGGTGATTTGACCTCTCCAAATGTGGAAAAAAAAATGCTATTTAAAGCAAGTGTTACTAGCTAATGTTTGACCTGCTCCTTTTCAGCCACGAACAAAGTAGACATCAAATCACAACCCTGATTACTCCAAAACCAGCAGTGCCCCAAAAGTAGATTGTTCAGTCATTCATCGCCACATGCATCCACATTGTCTCCTTTACCAGTCCTCCATCAGCCAATGTCCCTCCCACTTCTACTCTTTGCTTTCAAACTTATCCTATCCTTTGAAAACAAAACCAAACGAACAAATGAACAAGCCACAAACCTCCCTGAATGAATCCCATATCCTCTTCACCAAAAGCATCATTCAGTTACTGTCCTCTTCTGAAATCCATTTATCTCCCATGGCATGGCCAGTGCTCTCCTCTACGCTTCTCCGCCAGAGAATGTCTCTTCCCACACACCGGATTTTCTCAGGCCAAAGCAGCACTGACAGCCACAGGCCTTGTTCTCCTTGAAATAGGGCATCAACATTATGAGTTTATTTCTATTTCCAACGCTTACGTATTTCGCTCAGGATGTCTGAAGTGCTTGAACCAGTTGACTCTGTTGTCCAGGAAATTTGACTCCCCTTTTCTCTTCACCCCCACAGCATTACTCTCTCCTCGATCTCGTTCTTGCCTGTTGTGAATGCTTCCACTGTTTACTTTTATTGTGATAAATTTACAAAACATAAAATTTACCATCTTAACCATTTTTAGTGTATGAATTAGCAGCATTAAGTATGTTCACAATATCATATGATCATCACCACTATTCATTCTCAGAACTTTTTCATCATCCCAAAAAGAAAGTCCGTACCCATTAAACAATAACCCTTGTCAAATAAAATCTCTAGGAGGCCACCGATTTGGACTGAGCTCCTGCACTAGGTGCAACAGACTAAGCCAGAATTGAGTCACCCAGGCTGAAGTTCCGAGCCAACCGGCTGAAACCAGATTGTTTATCTGACCTTCTTAGAAATCAAGAAAAAGAGAGATAATAGCCAAATTTCAAAACAGGCAAGTTATAGCCAGCATGATAAACAAGTCTGCTTTAACCTTTACAAGGAAAGTGACTTTGAGGTTACCAAATTGCTTTTTGTTCTGTTTCTGCTTTCTTCAGCTCTTTTCTGCCTGTAAAGACAACCTCTTCTGCTTAGCTTATTCCAACAGTCATTCTATATTATAGAATGTGGTATTGCCTGATTCTAGACTTGCAAATAAAAGCCAATTACACCTTTAAACTAAATTTGTTGTACCTTTGTCTTTTAACAACCCCCAAAATAATTAATAACTTTAAACAATATCTCATCTCACCCCCTGTCCCTAGTAATTTCTATTTTACTTTCTATCTCTATGGATTTGACTATTCTAGGCATCTTACGTAGGTGGAATCATACAATATTTGTGCTTTGTGCTGACTTATTTGACTTAGCATAATGTTTTCATGTTTCATCCATGTTGGAGCACTATCAGAATTACACTGTGTTTAAGGATCAACAGTATTTCATTGGATGTATAGACCGTATTTCGTTTATCTATTCATCTGTCAATGAACATTGAGGTTGTTCTTTGGCTATAATAAATAACACTGCAATGAATATTAGTGTACAAGTATCTGTTTGAGACCCCGATTTCAATTCTTCGGGGTATATACATAAGATTAGATATAGTAACTGTTTACTTTTTTGAAGAATTGCCAAACTTTTCTACAGCAGCCGTGTTAATTTAAATTCCTGCCAGCAATACACAAAGGTTCTAATTTCTTCACATCTCCACCAACACTTGTTACTTTCTTTCCTTGCTTTTTTATTTTTATTTTTTAAGAGCCATCCAAATGGATGTGAAGTTGTATCTTTTCATGTAGTCTTGATTTGCATTTGACTAATGATAAGTCATGCTGAGAATCTTTTCATGTGCTTTTTAGCCATTTGTATATTTTCTTTGGAGAAATACCTGTTCAAGTCCTTGGTTCATTTTTCTTTTTTTTTTGAATTGGGCTATTTGTTTTTTGTTGTTGAGTTGTAGAAGTTATTTATATGTTCTGAATATTAATTCCTCAGCAGGTATATGATTTGCAAATGTTTTCAATCATCCTGTGAGCTGTCATTTTATTCTGTTGATAGTGTCATTTGATGCAGGATAGTTCTTCACATTAAAGTCCAATTTATCTATTTTTTGTTGTTGTTTGTGCTTTTGGTATCATATCCAACACATAATTGCCTAATGCAATGCCATGAAGATATTCTCCTACTTTTTCTTCTAAGAGTTTTATATTTTTAACTCATGTTTGGATCTTTGATAAATTTCAAATAAATTTTTGTATGTGGTATAAGGTAAGGGTCTAACTTCATTCTTTTGCCTGTGGCTAACCAGTTTCCTCAGCATAATTTGTTGAAAAAATGATTGTTTTCCCATTGAATGGTCTTACTACCCTGGACAAATATTAATTAACCATGTATGCAAGAGTTTATTTCTGGGTTCTCTATTCTACTCTATTTTTCTAAATTTCTGTACTTGTGCCCATGACACCTTGTTTTGATTGCTGTAGCATTGTAGTAAGTTTTCAAGTCAGGAAGTGTGAGGCCTCCAACTTTGTTCCTTTGTAAAATTGTTTTGCTAGTCAGGGTCCCCTGAGATTCCATATACATTTTAGAATTTGTTTTAATTTCTGTAAAATGTATGCCATTAGGATTTAATACGGATTGCATGGAATCTGCGATTACTTTGGATAGCATGGGTATCTTAACAATATTCATCTGATCCATGAACCTAGAACGTCTTCTCATTTACTTTTGTCTTATTAAATTTTCTTTTAACATTGTTTTGTCATTTTCAGTGTGCAAGTCTTTCACCTCCTTGGTTAAATGTATTCCTAAGTATATTGTATTTTGATGCTTTTGTATTTATGGAAATTTTTTTAATTTTCCTTGTGAAATGGTCATTGATAATGTGTAGGATTGCAACTGATTCTTCTGTGATGAGTTTCTATTCTGCAACTTTGCTGATTTCACGTATTTACCTGTGTTTTTGTGCATGGAACTTTTAGTATTCATGTATGACCATGTTATCTGCAACAAATATAATTTTGCTTCTTTCTTTTCAATTTGGATGCCTTTTATTTATTTTTCTTTCCTAATTACTCTGCTTAAAACTTCCAATACTATGTTGAATACAAATAGCAAAAGCAAGCATCTTGTCTGGCTCTTGATCATGGGGAGAAAGGTCCAGTCTTTCACTATTAAATACAATGTTAGCTGTGGAATGTTCACTTATGTTGAGAAAATTACCTTATATTCTTATTTATTGAGTATTTTTTATTACTAAAGAATTTGTACTTTGTCAAATGCTTTTATTGCATTGATTGAGATGATTGGGTTTTATTGCTTTAGTCTATTTATGTGGTTGATTTTCATGTTTACACAAGTTTGTGTTTGGATAAATCCCACCTGGTCATTGTCTGAGTCTATTTTCTGTCACTAAAAGAGAATGCCTGAGGCTGAGTAATTTATAAAGAGAAGAGATCTACTTAGCTCATGGCTCTGCAGACTGTGTGAGAAGCATGGTGCTGGCAGCTGCTCAACTTCTGGTGAGAACCTTTGCACTGAGTGTAAATATAGTAAATACTGTATAATAACCCATTCTCCCAGAAACTAGTCCATTCCCCCAAGAACCAATCCTGTCACACCAGAGTGAGAACTCACTCATCATCACAGGGAGAAGGTCACCAAGACATTCATGAGGGATCTGCCCCTGAATCCAAACCCCTCTCAGCAAGCCCCACCTCCCAATACCACCATACGAGGCATTAAAATTTTAACATAAGATTTGGAGGGGACAGAGCCTATCCAAGCCATAGCAGTCATCAGACATAATCCTTTTCACATTCTGTTGGATTTATTTTGCTGGTATTTTGTTGAAAATGTTTTTGCATCCTTATTCATAAGGGATATTGGCCTATAGATTTTTTAATGAAACCCTTATCTAGCTGTGGAATCAGAATAATACTAGCCTCAGAATGAGTTAGGAAGTGTTTCTTCCTCTTCTATTTTTTAGAAGAATTTGAAGGATTGGTGTTAATTATTTTTAAAATATGTGGTAGAATTTATCATTGGAGCCATCTGGTCTCTGACTTAACGTTTGTTGGAGATTTTTGATAACTGATTCAATCTCTTGTTTTAGTTGTTTATATTTTCTGTTTATTCCTGGGTCAATTTTGACAGTTTTTGTCTTTTTAGGACTTTGCTATTCCATCAGATTATCTAATTTATTTCCATACAATTGCACAATGTGTCCTCTTAGAATCTTTTGGAGTCTGCGAGGTGAATAGTGTTGTCCCCACAGTCATTTCTCGTTTTAGGAATTTGAGTCTGCTCTGATTTTTTTCTAGTCTAGTTAAAGTTTTCTCAGTTTTATACATCTCTTCAAAACATCGACTTTTGGCTTGATTGATTCTGTTGTTTTTCTATTCGCTATTTCACTAATCTCCACTTTAATCTTTATTATTTCTTTCTTTCTGCTGCTTTGGGGTTTTATTTGCTTTTTTCCCAGTTTCTTAGATGTAAAGTTAGGTTATTGACTGGAGATCTTTATCTATCTATCTATCTATCTGCATGTATGTGTATGTGTGTATGTATGTATGTATTTTGGAAAGGGAAATCAAGGTTAAAGAAGGTGGAGTCCTAATCTCATATGACTAGTATGCTATAAAATGAGGAAGACACCAGAGACCTCTCTCTGCATGGACACAGAGAAAAGGCCATGTTAAGACACAGTGAGAAGATGGCCATCTTCAAACAGAATAGGCCTCACCAGAAGTGACCCTGATGGCACCTTAATCTTCAACATCTAGGCTCCACACTGTGAGAAAACAATACATTTGTTTTTTGGTTTTCTGTTGTTGTTGTTGTTATGGCAGCCCTAGCAGAATAACACATCGTTCTTCCTTAACTTGCTTGAGTTTTATTCTTACTGTTTTTAATGTACACATTTATAATTATAGATTTTACTCTGTGCACTGTGTTTGTCACATCCCATAGTTCTGGCATGCTTTGTTTTCATTTCTATTAAAGTATTTTGCAATTTACCTTGTGATTCTTCTTTGAGCCACTAATTGAGAGTATTTTGTTTAATTGCTACATATTTGTGAATTTCCAGTTTTCCCTCAGTTTTGTGTTTCTAGTTGCATTTAATCGTGGTTGGAGAAAATCATTTATCACTTCTCGGCCTTTTGGCTAAGATCAAGTGTGTGAGAAAATCATTTGTATAAGCTCAATCTTTTTAAAATTTTATGGAGACTTATTTGGGGCCTAACACGTAGTCTATACTGAAGAATATACCATGTATGCTGGAGAAAGTGTGTATTCTACTGTTGGTTGGACTGTTCTGTAGTTGTCTATTAGGTCTAACGGTTTAAAATGTTGCTCAAGTCTTCTGTTTCCTTGTTGATCCTCTGTCTGGTTGTTCTGTTTGTTATTGAAATGGAGTGTTAAAGACTCCAACGATTATGTTAAAACTGCCTATTTTATGCTTCAATTTTTGCTTCCTATATATATGCCTCTGTTGTTAGGGTCATATATGTTTATAATTGTCATAAGTTCTTATTAATTAGTCCTTTCATGAACGTATAATGTTCTTCTTTGTCTCTGGTAACAAACTTTGAATTAAAGTCCATTTTGCTTCACCTATTAGTATAGTTACCCTAGATTTCCTTTACTTTAATTTTTTTTATAGATGTGGTCTCACTATGCTTCCCAGGCTGGTCTCAAAACTCCTGGCCTCAAGCGATGCTCCCACCTTGGCCTCACAAAGTGTTGGGATTACGGGCATGAGTTACCTTGCCTGGTTCCTAAATGTCTTCTAGTTGCTTTTTGCATGGAATATTTTTTTACATCCTATTACTTTCAACATATTTGTGGCTTTGATCTAAACTGAATCTCTTGTAGCTAGCATACAGTTAGACAATGTTTTCTTTTTATTCATTCTGCCAGTTCTGCCTTTAATTTGAGTTTATTCCATTTACATTTTAAGTAATTACTAATAAGGCCTTGCTTCTGCCATTTTTCTGTTTGTGTTCTACATGTCTTATGGATTTTGGTTGCTCATTTCCTCCATCTTCCCTTCTTTGGTGCATAATTGATTTTTTATAGTGTGCCATTTTTATTCTCTTCTAAATTTCATCTCTAGAGGTTTTCATTATTTTCTTTGTGGTTACCTTGGGGTTGCAGTGAATTACTTCTAATGATCCACCTTGGATTAGTAGAACATAGCCTCAAAAGTATATAAAGCTGGCTTCTACTCACCTGTGTATGCCACCCCCTATGTGGGTAATGTCACAATTACCAATGTATAACATGCCACTTGTGACATTACAATGTCACAAATATTGATATCACAAGTAATGATAATGTATATCATTATACCTTTATACCAATTTGCAATGATTACATTATGTTTGCTTTCTTTAAATTACCAAGAACAAAAGGGTTACAAACCAAAATTAAATATGGCTTTTATGTTTATCTATGTAGTTATCTTCACTGATGATCTTTATTTCTTCATGTGGCTTCATAATACTTTCCATTCAGTTCAGCCCAAAGGACTCTCTAGCATGGTCCAGAATTTCTTGGAGGGCAGGCCTACCAGTGATTATCTCTCTTGGCCTCTGTTTATTTGAGATGGTAATAGCTTAATTATCTCCTCCTCCTCCTCCTCCTACT